>NC_000012.12:111399521-111551037 GCF_000001405.40 Homo sapiens | reverse complement strand
CATGAGCCACTGCACCCAGCCGGTTCTAAAATTCTTTTATTTATTTGTATATGCCAAATTCTGTAGTGAAATACGTAATTCTGTTGTAAATTGTAGTTCAGTACAATTTGATTTTCACTATTCAAATCTATACCAAAAGCTGTTTTTATTGTTGGGCTGATTCTTCTACACTGTTACTTGGAAATAATAATATACCAGGATTCTTTCTCTTAGACTTAGGAGTCTTTCTCTTTGCTTGCTTTTTCAGAGGCTAACAGTACTGGGTATTCTTTAACTGTCTTGATATGCTGATGAAAGCACAGTGTTCTGTTTTTGAATCTTCTCAAATGTCCTTGTCTTTGATTCACAACTTTTTGTCTTAAGAGGCCTTCAGCATCCCATACAAGGAAACAAGTCTTTTTTTAGCTGCTACCTTTGGAGTTGATTTTGTTTATGTCTAGGAGCACTAAATTATTTATACTTATACTATTGAAATATTCCTCTGTTATAAATTCAAAAATTGACTTTGGAAGATAAAATTTTAGTTGAATTTAATACATAGCACTCTGGAAAGAGTATTGGCCACAACAAAAAAAAAGGTTCCCTACTCTATTGGATACCAGGTCATTTAACAGCCATTTACGGTATGCATTGTCTTTTTGTTTTTATGATGAATTGATATTTCCCAAATGTGGAAGAGTGAATATTACTTTGAGATGTTTGTGATAGTCCATTCCTTGCTCCTCTTCAAAATTAATGTCATTAAATTTTTATTACTTTATTAGATCTTCATTTCTCAGATAATTTTAGTTCATTATAGAAAGGCAAGAAAATACAGATCAGAGTGACAACTTTGAAAATCTCACTCTACTCATAAGGGGATGGGTGTATTTTGCTATATATTACAAAATTAGTTTTCTTGATGAGGACATCCACTATTGGAGTAATTTCAGGTATCTTATTTTTTCTTTTCTCTCTCTTTTTTTTTTTTTTTTTGGAGACGGAGTTTCGCTCTGTTGCCCAGGCTGGAGTGCAGTGGCCTGATCTCGGCTCACCGCAACCTCTGCCTCCTGGGTTCAAGCGATTCTCTTGCCTCAGCCTCCCGAGTAGCTGGTTACTGAGGCATGTGCCACCATGCCCGGCTAATTTTTGTATTTTTAGTAGAGACGGGGTTTCACTATGTTGGCCAGGCTGGTCTTGAACTCCTGACCTTGTGATCCTCCTGCCTTGGCCTCCCAGAGTGCTGGGATTATAGGCGTGAGCCACCACGCCTGGGCAGGTATCTTATTTCAAAACTTACAGTGGTTTAGTGAATTATACAATTGCGTCCAGTGCGTAGTATCCTGAAAATAGTATTAAGTCATGTGTTTAGGACATCAGGTCTCTTAAGCTAAGACTATCCAGGCAGAAATTGCCCTCTTCTATAAAAGAAGAAAAGTATTAATTAGGAAGTACTATCAGTATGGAGAAAACCATTTTAGAATTATTAATTGGCATGGTTTCCTTCTTTTTTTTTTTATTTCGAGATGGAGTCTCACTCTATTTCCCAGGCTGGAGTGCAGTGGTGCGATCTCGGCTCACTGCAACCTCTGCCTCCTGGGTTTAAGCGATTCTCCTGCCTCAGCCTCCCGAGTAGCTGGGATTATAGGCACATACCACCATGCCCTGCTAATTTTTTTTTTTGTTTGTATTCTTAGTACAGACTGGGTTTCACCATGTTGGCCAGGCCGCATGGTTTTCCTTAATAACAAAATTAAGGCATTTATTACTGCATCTAGATTTTTTTTATTTTTTATTAGAGACTTACTCAGATTACTCCCAAAGTAAAGGAAGGTATGGTTTAATCAATGCTTCTTAATGCTGGGTTCACGTTTAGTCACCTGGGGAGTTTTTAAAAATGTTCTCACTTCTAGGGATCCTGGTTTAATTATAATTAGCCTGGGTGAGGCTCTGGACAGTCAGGGTGTGAGCTATGGGTTTCATGTGATGAGATCCCAGGAGTGGCTCTGTTCTGTGGCCTTGAGAATTTGTGCTTTCTAGGCCAGGTGCGGTGGCTCACTCCTGTAATCTCACTTTGGGAGACCAAGGTGGGCAGATCATTTGAGGTCAGGAGTTCGAGACCAGCCTGGCCAACATGTTGAAACCCCGTCTTTACTAAAAAAGTAAAAAATTAGCGGGACGTGATGGCACATGTCTATAATCCCAGCTACTTGGGGAGAGGCTGAGGCAGAAGAATCGCTTGAACCCGGGAGGCAGAGATTGCGAGATCATGCCACTGCACTCCAGCCTGGGCAACAGAATAAAAAAAGAATTTGTGCTTTATTTTCTTGCCTCACAGTCCCCTTTCTGTCTCAGAATTGGCAACTGCCTGAAATAGTCTCTGCTGTTATCATTTGATAGTACTTTTCCACATCTTGAATGGATAGATAGAGTGTTTTTTATAATAGAAGTGGATGAATGATTAGAGTATACTAATATGACATTGTATTTTCCTAAAAGATATGAATTGATTTCATTTCTGAGCTTTTATAATTCTCTTCTGTAATAGTCTGTCAAATTATTAAGGTTGATAATATTAACTAAAATTTGAGTGCATATTCTATGTGCCAGACTCTGTGCTAACAGATTTACCTACATTTGTTCACATAATCATCACAAGTTGTTTCTGTAGTAGATACAGCTATTATCCACGTCATAGATGAGGAAACAGGCATATTTAGGAAACTTGCTAAAGTGAGGACACAAATCTAGCTTTTCTACTCTAACTCATGTTCTTAACATTATACTGCAGTGACATAAATTATGTGGTTTGGTTTGTTGTTTATCTCAGTTGTCATAAGTCGAATTAATGTTTGTTTGTTTGTTTTGAGACAGAGTCTTGCTCTGTCGCCCAGGCTGGGTACAGTGGCGTGATCTTGGCGCACTGCAACCTCCACCTCCTGGGTTCAAGCAGTTATCTTGCTTCAGCCTCCCTAATAACTGGGATTACAGGCACGTACCACCACACCCGGGTAATTTTTGTATTTTTAGTAGAGATGGGGTTTTACCATGTTGGCCAGGCTGATTTCAAGCTCCTGACCTTAGGTGATCCACCCACCTGGGCCTCCCAAATTGCTGGGATTGTAGGCATGAACCACTGTGCCCAGCCAGTAAGTTCCATGGTTGTTAAAGGATTTCTCCACAAATAAAGCTAAAAGTAAAAAAAAAAAAAAAAAAAAAAAATTCTCAAGCAATATAAGATGCAGACTATTATGTTGTTCAAGTTTTTTTTTTTTTTTTTTAATCTTTGGCTTTATTTTTGGGGAAACCTTTTTTTTCTTTTTTGTTTTCCTTGGGACGGAGTTTTGCTCTTGTCGCCCAGGCTGGAGTGCAATGGTGCAATCTTCGCTCACTGCAACCTCCGCCTTCTGGGTTCAAGCGATTCTCCTATCTCAGCCTCCCGAGTAGCTGGGATTACAGGCATGTGCCACCATGCCCGGCTAACTTTGTATTTTTAGTAGAGACTGGGTTTCTCCACGTTGGTCAGGCTGGTCTTGAACTCCTGACCTCAGGTGATCCACCTGCCTAGGCCTCCCAAAGTGCTGGGATCACAAGCGTGAGCCACCGCGCCCAGCCAGGGAAACCTTTATTTTGAGGCGGAGTCTCGCTCTGTCACCCAGGCTGGAGTGCAGTGGCGTGATCTCAGCTCACTGCAACCTCTGCTTCCTAGGTTCAAGCAATTCTTCTGCCTAAGCCTCCCGAGGAGCTGGGATTATAGGCGTCTGCCACCATGCCCAGCTAATTTTTATATTTTTAGTAGAGACGGGGTTTCACCATATTGGCCAGGCTCTTCTCAAATTCCTGACCTCATGATCCACCCACCTTGGCCTCCCAAAGTGCTAGGATTACAGGCGTGAGCCACCACACTCGGCTGCTGGGGAAACCTTTTAACATGAGTAAGGTCAGTGTGACTTTTAAGTTCTTGATGCTAACATCATTGATTTCAATAAAGTTTAAAAGTTATATTCATGCATATATGCAAATGAATAAAAGGCTTTGAAATAGTGACTTCTTACGGTACAGTGAATAAGTTTCCTTTGGTCTCTTGAATGTTATACATGTTCCAGTTTGATTTACTGAGAAACTGAAAGTACCTTTACGTCATATGAGCTGTGAGTCACCTTGGCACATTCATAATTAGAAGAGACCATCAGATTATCATTGGAAAATCAGTTTGTATTTATCCTTTATTTGAATTCCAGTGCAGACAGATCTGAGGTTCTCTTCATTTTGCTAAAACTTCTTAGGGCCTTCAGTCGCTTTTGGCTCTGTATTCGTGTATCTTTGGAATTGTCCTGTTATCTCTGCTTGTTTTTTACTTGATTTTCCATCCATTTCCAGTATTCCTTTCTCCTCTATTTTTTTCCTTCATTTTCTTTCTGCTCTTCCTGTTGCGCCATTATTCATGTTTTCCTCTTTACTCCAACTCAACTATGGCTTTACTTCTGTTTCCTTATTCCATTGTTCCTCATACTTTTTCCTACTGCTTCATTTTCTTTGCAGTATTCTCAGCCTAGATGATAGGGGTCAGCAAATCTGCTCATCAGTAAATAAATTTTATTGTAGCATAGCTATGCCCATGCGTTTGTGCATTGTCTATGGCTGTTTTGATGGCTGTAGCCATAGAGTTGAGTAGTTGTAGCTGACTGTAGGACTTGCAAAGCCAGAAAATTTGACTGTCTCTTTACAGAAAAGTTTGCCAGCTCTTGGCCTAAATCATATTTTCCGCTGCATTTAGGGCTTTTTAGGACTGATCAAAAATACATGCTATACTGGCTTTGGTGAAGTAACAGAATGTGCTCTGTCCTTTAAACTTACAACTAATTGCATGCTTTGATTCTAATACTGTATAATATCCTGCGATTCTTATTCATGACCATTCTAATTGGATTTAGTCTGAAGAATTACTTTTGCTTAACAGATTCTTTGTCACATTTAGTGAAAAATCATAAAAGGGGAAGGTTGGTTAATGGAAAAGATCTCCATCAACTAACCACTACCTTCCTTATCTACAAATTTATCTTCTTCCTCCGTGCCATCTTTTTTTTTTTTTTTTTCAGATGATCTTGCTCTGTTGCCCAGGCTGGAGTGCAGTGATGCAATCACAGCTCACTGCAGCCTCGACTTCCCAGGCTCAGGTGATCCTCTCACCTCAACCTCCTACATAACTGGGACTGTATGTGCACATCACTATGCCTGACTAATTTTTTATATTTATATTTTTTGTAGAGATGGGGTTTCCCTGTATTGCACAGGCTGGTCTCAAACTGCTGGGCCTAAGAGTCTTCCCACCTTGGCCTCCCAAAGTCCTGGGATTACATGAGTCACCGCACCCGGCCTCATTATTATTTTTCCTCTGGTTTTAGTAGAGAGGATTTTTAAGCCAACTTCAATCATGCCCTTGACTCTCTCCCTTCTACTTACCTCCTTGTTCTCTTTTTCTTTTTCTTTTTTTTTAGATGGAGTCTCGGTCTGTCACCCAGGCTGAAGTGCAGTGGCGTGATTTCAGCTCACTGCAGCCTCAGCCTCCTGAGTAGCTGGGGCTATAGGTGCCTGCCACCACGCCCGGCTAATTTTTGTATTTTTAGTAGAGATGGGGTTTCACCATGTTGGCCAGGCTGGTCTCGAACTCCTGACCTCAAGTGATCACCTGCCTCAGCCTCCCAAAGTGCTGGGATTACAGGCGTGAGCCACCACGCCTGGCCATCTTTTTTTTTCTCCTTGCTCTTTTATACCACTTCTCTGTTTCTGGGCTCTTCAACATCTGCCTTTCTAGTTAATCTTTCCCTTTAGCATGAAAACCTATTCACTTCCTGCTCATCCTAAAAAGGATTCTTTTTTGTTTTGTTTTGTTTTTGTTTTTGAGACAGAGTCTCGCTCTTGCCCAGGCTGGAGTGCAGTGGCACTATCTTGGCTCACTGCAAGCTCCGCCTCCCGGGTTCACGCCATTCTCCTGCCTCAGCCTCCCGAGTAGCTGGGACTACAGGCACCTGCCACCACGCCCAGCTAAATTTTTGTATTTTTAGTAGAGATGGGGTTTCACCGTGTTAGCTAGGATGGTCTCGATCTCCTGACCTTGTGATCCATCTGCCTCGGCCTCCCAAAGTGCTGGGATTACAGGCATGAGCCACCGCACTGGGCCCAAAAGGATTCTTTTTAATCCTGAATTCTTCTAGCCATTATCCTGCCTAAGGCTACGATTAACCTCTAACTGCCAGGTCCTTTGGAATCTTTTTCTGTCTTTATTGCTGCACTTGAATGTTGGTTTCACCCTCCTTCAGAATTTCCTCTTCTGTATTTTTTATGTTTATTGATCATTCCTTCCCTGCCTCATTCCTGGGCTTCTTTTCCTTCACACACCCCTTAGATGTGTGTCCCCAGTGTTTGTTTCTTTGCCTGCTGCTCTTGCCACATGACACACACTGCCAGCTACCACACACAAGTTCCCTCCTATCATGTGTGTATCATTGCCCTTATACCATGTTGTATTAAAATTATATGCTTGTCTCCCCTGTTACAGTTTGAGCTCTTTGTGCTCCAAGTAAAGACAGTGATACTGTCTTTATTATTTATTCTCATGGTCTAGTATAGTGCTTTGGCACATAGTACAGGCTCAATATAAATGTGTTTGAATAAATGAAATTCAGTGCCTTAATACACTTTTGTAGAAGCATTATTTTATGGAAAGAATGAAAAAGCTGTAAGTGGTCTTACATATATAGTCATCCAGCAGATACTTAGAGAGCTCTGGGATGTGTTCCTTGCTGTGCTTGTTGCTATGGACAGTACGGAGAAATACAAGAATCTATTTTGGGTCCCTTTTGAGAACCTAGTGAAACTGTGTACCTAGTGAAACTGTATACCCTCACCCTAGAAAAATTTACACACATGTAGATTTTACATGTAATTCTTTTAAAAATTAATTTTTTTTCTTTTTTTTAAAGAAACAGGGTCATGCTCTGTCACTCAGGCTGGAATGCAGTGGTGTGATCATGGCTTACTGTAGCCTCGACCTCCTGGCTCAAGCGACTCTCCCACCTCAGCCTCCCAAGTAGCTGGGGCTACAGGTGCACGCCGCTATGCCCGGCTAATTTTTAAAAATATTTTATAGACACTGGTTCTCACTATGTTTCCCAGGCTGGCCTTTACCTCCTGGGTTCAAGCAATCCTCTACCTTGGCCTTCAAAAGTGATGGGATTATAGGTGCAAGCCACTGTGCCCACGCTAATGTAATTTCATGGTGTTCACAGTTTCTTCAGGGAGTTCATATACGCCATGTACTCTATTCTAAGCATTTTTAGAGTTAGAGATAGCAAAGCACGTGAATAAATTCAAGAAAAATGGAATGTTGTACTGCATGACATTGAATATCAAATGGAGTCAGCGATGCAAATAATTGTCTAGATTTTACAAAAAAAATTAGCCTGGTGTGCTGGTGTGCGCCTCTAATCCCAGCTACTCGGGAGGCTGAGACAGGAGAATCATTTGAACCCAGAAGGTGGAGGTTGCAATGAGCTGAGATCGTACCACTGCACTCCAGCCTGAGTGACAGAGCGAGACTCCATCTCAAAAATAAAAAATAAAAGAATTGTGTAGATTTTAGTAGTTGGAAGAAGTTGGAGTGTTAATGTGTAATTAGAGAACAGTGAGAAATAAAATTCTACAGATTGTTTTATTCTGGTGTGCTGTTGTGTTCTCATATGGTTGTCTTTTTGGTCTTGATAGTGTATCAGTAACAGAGTACGAGTAACAAACAGGGATCTCTTCTGAACGGCGTGACATTAGAAAAGCTGTTTACGGCCTCAACTTTGCTGTGGTTTATTAAGACACAGATATGTGTTCATTCTGGGGCCAAGCAGTAACTGGAGAGTGGCACTTATTGAGGCCAGTATGGAGGCAGTACAGAGATTATTGAGATTAAAAGAAAGAAACAGGTGGAACGGATCTATGTAATGGAAAGCTAAACAGAATAGTTCGTGGTACACAGTAGAAAAGCATTACATGTTTATTAAGATATGGTCATCTTCCATTTATTAAAGTTACATGTTTTATAATTTTTAGAGTATATAGAAATTCTCTACCCTATCATGTTTGCCAAAGTCAGAACAATAACTTCATTTATTAAATATAAAAAAAATAAAAACCTCTAGCATAAAATAGAATTTTATTTGGACAAACGATAAAAAAATACTGTGTGGTACTAGTAAGAGTAAGGTTGATTCAAGATACATGGGAGCAGAATCCAAAGTGTAGAAATAGGCCAGGTGCAGTGGCTCATGCCTGTAATTTCAACACTTTTGGAGGCTGAGGCGGGAGGATGAGTTCAGGAGTTCAAGACTCGCCTTGGCAACTTGGCAAAACCCCATCTCTACAAAAAGTACAAAAATTAGCCGGGTGTGGTGGTGTACTCCTGTAAACCCAGCTACTTGGTGGGCTGAGGTGAGAGGTTCACTTGCAGCCAGTAAGTCAAGGCTGCAGTGAGCTGTGGTTATGCCACGGCACTCCAGCTGGGTGACAAGCAAGACCTTGTCTCAAAAACAAACCAGCCAGGCGTGGCGGATCACCTGAGGTAAGGAGTTGGAGACCAGCCTGGCCGACATGGCTCTACTAAAAATACAAAAATTAGCTGGGCGAGGTGACGGGCACCTGTAATCCCAGCTACTTGGGAGGCTGAGGCAGGAGAATCGCTTGAATCCAGGAGACGGAGTTTGCAATGAGCCGAGATGGTGGTGCTGCACTCCAGCCTGGGTGACAGAGCCAGACTCTGTCTCAAAAACAAAAATAAGCATAGGACATGGGGATAAATTGAAGATTTATGAAGACACAGCTGAAGGAGACATAAAAGTAGATTTGGCTAAATGGAAACATGCCATACTTTGAATGGAATTATTTAATACTACAACGTTGTCAATTTTCCTCAAATAAATCTCTAAAGATAATATATTCAGTTTTGGCCGGGCACGTTGGCTCACGCCTGTAATCCCAGCACTTTGGAAGGCTGAGGTGGGCCGATCACTTGAGGACGGGAGTTTGAGACCAGCCTGGCCAACATGGTGAAACCCTGTCTCTACTAAAAATACAAAAATCATCTGGACATGGTGGCAGGTACCAGCTACTTGGGAAGCTGAGGCAGGAGAATTACTCGAACCCCGTAGGTGGAGGTTGCAGTGAGCTGAGATTGCACTCCAGCCGGGTGACTCCATCTCAAAAAAAAAAAAATTTTTATAATATATATATATATATCCGTTTTTGTAGAAATTGACAAAATGATTCTAAAGCTTATTAGATTATGTGTATTAACAGAAGAACTTTGGAAATTTTTTTCCACAAGAGTCATAAAGGAGGACTTGCCCTACAAAATATGTCAGAATTAAAACATAACTTGTCAGCTGGGTGCGGTGGCTCACGCCTATAATTCCAGCACTTTGGGAGGCTGAGGCAGGCAGATCATGACCAGCCTGACCAACATGGAGAAACCCCGTCTCTACTAAAAATACAAAATTAGCCGGTCATGGTGGCGCATACCTGTAGTCCCAGCTACTCGGGAGGCTGAGGCAGGAGAATCGCTTGAACTCGGGAGGTGGAGGTTGCAGTGAGCCGAGATCGCGCCATTGCACTCCAGCCTGGGCAACAAGAGTAAAACTCTGTTTCAAAAAAAAAAAAAAAAAAAAAAGAATTATAACTGTCACAGTGGCTACGTATGGAGCATCCAAAACTGAATTTATGTGGGTATTTTATTAATATGCAATATAGCACTTTAATTCTGGAGGAAAGGTGGATTATTCAGTAAATGATTCTGGGACATTGGGGACAAATTAGATACCTACTTCACACTGATAAATAAAACCAAATAGATTAATGAGAAAACTGTGATTAAACAAAACAACACCCAGACTACACTGGAGCAAATCTGTGAATTTGTTTAATTTTGAGTGGAGAAGGACTTTATAAGCATGACTACCAGAGCAAAAAAATCATGAAGTAAAAGATCGATACCTTTGATTATAAAGAGATTAAAGATTTAGGCCGGGTGTGGTGCTCACGCTTGTAATCCCAGCACTTTGGGAGGCCAAAGCGGGTGGATCACTTGAGGTCAGGAGTTTGAGACCAACCTGGTCAACCTGGTGAAACCCCATCTCTACTAAAAATACAAAAAAATTAGTCAGGCATGGTAGCACATGCCTGTAATCCCAGCTACTCAGGAGGCTAAGGCAGGAGAATTGCTTGAATTTGGGAAGTGGAGGTTGCAGTGAGCCGAGATTGTGCCACATCACTCCAGCTTGGGCGACAGAGTGACTCCATCTCAAAAAAAAAAAAAAAAAAGACTTAGACGTGTCCAAAAGTACCATACATTTAAAAAGACATGCCACAAACTGGGAAAAGTAGAAAAATAGTTTTAAAAATGACCAGTGAATGTATGAAAAGGTGGCCCTCCTCACTTGTAATGATTTAAGAAATGCAGTTTATTTTTATTTTATTGTATTTTTAAAGAAATTCAGTTTTAAAGCAGTGGAATATGATTGTCTATCAGCTTGCGCTGAATGGTAAATGTGAGAAAGATTACTACTACTTAGTGGTACTGAGGGAGTTGCAAAACACTTAACACTGCTAGTGGGATGGTTTAAGTAAAACAAGTAGCATTCTTAAACTCTCTATTAGGTAAAGAATAGGTAAGTAATGCATATGTTTCCAGGACATTTTCAGTAAGACTGTTTACTGATAGGGTTGTGTAATGCTAATATACTTACTATCTAGTTTTAGTATTATTTTTTTCTCTTGTCTTGGATGGTTTCAATGGAGTCTTATGCATGCAGATATATTAAAACTAGTAATAAAGCAAGAGAAGGAATGTGGATAAATTATCTCTAATTTCTATTTTGTTCTATTTCTATTTCATACTCCTGGGAAAGAATATTAAGTGGGCATGTGTACTTGAACAGTTGTTCTGTTTTTTATTAGAAAAGAATCCGAATCTATAAAATGTTTTACATATTTGCCAGGGAAACAGAAAAGATATTTGTACAGCTGTAAGAATTGGAATTAATTTCATTTTACTGACTTTTCCTTAACCTAATTCTGAACACTTTTGCCATAGGTTTGAGAATAAGTTGTTATAAAATGACTACTATTCTTCACTAATAGTATTGGCATTTCAATTCCTAAATTCTGTTTTTTGATTCTTGAACATTTCTGAATTTACTTTTTTTGTCTTAGTTCTTCTACAGAATCATTTTCTTCTTTTTTCTTTTTTTATTTTTATTTTTTATTTTTGAGACAGAGTCTTGCTCTGTTGCCCAGGCTGGAGTGCAGTAGCGCGATCTCGGCTCACTGCAAGCTCCGCCTCCCGGGTTCATGCCATTTTCTCCTGCCTCAGCCTCCCGGGTAGCTGGGACTAGAGGTACCCGCCACAGCGCCCGGCTAATTTTTTGTATTTTTAGTAGAGACGGGGTTTCACCGTGTTAGCCAAGGTGGTCTCAATCTCCTGACCTCGTGATCCATCCGCCTCGGCCTCCCAAAGTGCTGGGATTACAGGCATGAGCCATCGCACCCGGCCTTCTTTTTTTCTTTCTCTTTAACTTCTGAGCTGAAAATAGTACCTTTTATAAAGAAGTGCTCAAACGATGATTGGACTGATTTCTCCTTATTTCTCTCTTTCTCTCTGTCTCTTTCACTCTCTTTTTAGAATTTTTCTTTTTTAAGTAGAGACGAGGTCCCACTATGTTGCCCAGGCTGTCTTGAACTCCTGAGCCCAAGCAATCCTCTTTGCCTCAGCCTCCCAAAGTGCTCGGATTACAGGCTTAAGCTATCACACCAGGCCTAGGCTAATTTCATATTTTGAGATGGCACAAATTTCTTTCAGGTAGCTAGCTTTTCCTCCTCCTCCCCACTTAAAATAGATCCTGATCCAGAAGCCTAATGGAGAAAATGAAAACAGAATGTTCACCCATAAACAGTATCTTTGTATTGGAATCTTTTCTAAAACTTCTTTTGATCTTTTTAGGAGATAGTGTGGGAATCAGCAATCTAGTATTACGTACGTGGAATCTGTCACCTTGTTTTTTTAAATACAGCAAACCTCATGAAGTGAATTTCCATATTTTTTCTTGTTCTTGTTAGTTTTGCACCACTCAGGCTTTGCTGTAGAATTTGATGTATATTTGATTCTGTAGAGCATGGGCTATTGATCTTCACTCAGCTTTCAGAGGAATCTGATTAGTAAGTTTGAGTTTTTTATTATTTTTTAGTTGATTTTGAAGTAAAATACAGCACCATTTTAACTGATACCATTTCTAAACAATTTTCAGTTCAAATTTTAAGTTAGCTAATTTAGAGCTTAAGAAAATTGCTTTAAAAACATAAAATTACTGGCTGGGTACAGTGGCTCATTCCTGTAATCTCAGCACTTTGGGAGGCCAAGGCAGATGAATTGCTTGAGCCCAGTAGTTCAAGACCAGCCTGGGCAATATGGTGGAACCCCGTTTCTACAAAAAAAATACAAAAAGTAGCCAGACACGGTGGTATGTACCTGTAGTCCCAGCTATTCGGGTGGCAGAGGTGAGAGGATCATCTGAGCGCAGGGAGATTGAGGCTGCAGTGAGCCAAGTGAGACCCTGGTTTCAAAAAAAAAAAGGTTACTAATTGCAGTGCCTTTTATCTTATTTAATGGGCTTAGTCAAACTAAGATGATGTATTTTATCTTATAAATGTTTTCCCTTGAATTTTAACTGAAGAATCCAATTTGTACCTCTCACAAACAGAATGTATTAGTAAGGAAAATAAATACTGCTTTTTATTACTTAAATAGGATATATTTTTCTCTTAGGGATTTTTTTTCTATTTTATCTCACTTTATCGTAGTGCTAGAAAATTTAATCATTCATTTGAGATAGGGAGAAAATTAGGTTTTTTTTTTTCTTCTATTTTGAGACAGGGTCTCATTTTGTTGTCCAGGCTGGAGTGCAGTGGCGCCATCGTAGCTCACCATAACCTCAAACTCATGGGTTCAGGTGATTCACCTTAGCCTCCTGATTAAGCTGGGACTGCAGATGTGTATCACCACTCCTGGCTAATTTTTGTTGTTATTTTTTGTTTGATGAGGTCTCATTATGTTGCCCAGGCTGGTCTCAAACTCTGGGCCTCAAATGATCCTCCTGCCCCAGCCTCCCAAAGTGCTGGGATTACAGGCATGAACCTCTGCTCCCAGCCCATTTTTTAAAATATATTCACAGCATTGTGCAACCATCACTACAATCAATTTACATTTTCATCACCCTGAAAAGAAACTCTGAACCCCTTAGCAGTTCCTCTCTGTTTGTTTCAATTTTCCCCAGCTCCAGGCAACTATTGATTTATTGTCTTCATAGGTTTGCCCATTCTGGACATTGCGTATTAATGGAATCATATAATATATAGCCTTTTTTTTTCTTTTTTTTTTTTGAAACAGAGTCTCACTGTGTCGCCCAGGCTGGAGCGCAGTGGCATGATTGCAGCTCACTGCATCCTCTGCCTCCCAGGTTGAAGCGATTCTCCTGCCTCAGCCTCTTGAGTAGCTGGGACTATAGGCGCCTGCCACCACACCTACTAATTTTATATTTTTAGTAAAGACGGGGTTGCACCATGTTGGCCAGGCTGGTCTCGAATTCCTGACCTCAAGTGATCTGCCCACCTCGGACTCCCAAAGTGCTGGGATTGCAGCCATGAGCCACCGCATCTGGCCATATATATTATGATAGGCTTGTTTCACTTAGTATGTTTCTTCCATGCTGTAGCATGTATTAGTACTTCTTTCTTTTTCATGGCCAAATATTCCATTATACAGTTACACAGGTACACTACATTTTGTTTATTCATCAGTTGGTGGACATTTTCATTGTTTCCACCTTTTGATTTATACATAATCCTGCTGCGAACAGTGACTTTTAAAGTTTTTGTGTGGGCCGGGTGTGGTGGCTCATGCCTCTGTAATCCCAGCACTTTGGGAGGCTGGGGCTGGCAGATCATTTGAGGCCGGGAGTTCGAGACCAGCCTGCCCAACATGGTGAAACCCTGTCTCTACTAAAAATACAAAAATGAGCTGGGTGTGGTGGCGTGCACCTGTAATCTCAGCTACTAGGGAGGCTGAGGCAGAGAATCACTTGAAGCTGGGAAGCCGAGGCTACAGTGAGCCGAGATCACGCCACTGCACTCCAGCCTGGGTGACAGAGTGAAACTTCATCTCAAAAAAAAAAAAAAAAAAAAAAAACTGCGTGTGGACATAGGTTTTCAATTCTCATGGGGGTGTGTGTGTATGCATACTCATACATACATACACATACCTGCAAGATAATTGCTGGCTCGTATGCTAAATCTATGTTGAACCTTTTACATAACTGTTGGGCTGTTTTGTTTTCTTTTTATTATTTTTTGAAAATAGAGTTGGGGTCTCACTGTTGCACAGGCTGATTTCCTGGGCATAGTGGCTGTATCATTTTACAATCCTACATAGCTGTTTCCAACGTAGCTGTATCATTTTACAATCCTACTAGCAGTGTCTGAGGTTTCTTATGTTTTTCACATCCTCACCAGCATTTGTTATTGTCTGTCTCTTTGATTATACCCATCCTAGTGGGAGAGTAAGAAGTAGTATCTCACTGTAGATTTTTTTTTTCTGTTTACAACTTTACTTTAAAAATTATATATGCACACATGGTAAAAAGTTCAAAACGTGTGTACCAAAAGATTTAACAGTGAAAATAGAAAATAAGTGTGGTCCTTGTTTTCTTCCACCAAGGCAAATATTGTTATAATCTCCTAAACAACTTGTCTTCCAGATTTCTCATTTTCAGTCAATCTTGGGCATTGACATAAAGAAATTCTTAGACATTGCTTTTATTAGATCATCTCATCCCTTGCTCAAAATCTTCAGTGGCCACTGTTGTTTACAGAATAAAGTTGGGATGCTATACAGGGCCCTTCCCAGTGGAACTTCTCTTTTTCAACCTTATCTCTCATTATTTCCCAATGTTTTTTTTTTTTTTTTTGAGACGGAGTCTCGCTCTGTCGCCCAGGCTGGAGTGCAGTGGCGGGATCTCGGCTCACTGCAAGCTCCGCCTCCTGGGTTCACGCCATTCTCCTGCCTCAGCCTCCCAAGTAGCTGGGACTACAGGCGCCCGCCACTACGCCCGGCTAATTTTTTGTATTTTTAGTAGAGACGGGGTTTCACCGTTTTAGCCGGGATGGTCTCGATCTCCTGACCTCGTGATCCGCCCACCTCGGCCTCCCAAAGTGCTGGGATTACAGGCGTGAGCCACCGCGCCCGGCCTATTTCCCAATGTTAATCTACTTATTGACCTACTAAGCTGGCATGTTCTGTGTGTTAGACATCACCAACTTTGTGCCTTCTTTTTTTGTTTGTTTTTGAGTTGGAGTCTCACTCTGTTGCCCAGGTTGGAGTGCAGTGGCGCGATCTTGGCTCACCACAACCTCTGCCTCCCGGGTTCCAGTGATTCTCCTGCCTGAGCCTCCCGAGAAGCTGAGACGACAGGCGCGCGCCACCATGCCCTGCTAACTTTTGTATTTTTAGTAGAGATGGGTTTCACTGTGTTTCCCAGGCTGGTCTCGAACTCCTGACCTTGTGATCCACCTGCCTTGGGCTCCCAAATTGCTGGGATTACAGGCGTGAGCCACCGCGGCCCCCTGTGCCTTCTTCTTTTACTCCTGGATTTAATCCCAACGTGAAGAATCTACCTTACTAACTAGAGTTTTAGATACTTTTTCAAAACCAAGCCCACATCTGTCCTTTTTAGAGTCTTCTCTGACCTTCCCTGCTCATTGTGGTTTGTTTTTATTGCCTGTAACAATGGCTGTTAAACTTTACATTTTAAATTAATTTATGTTTGTATGTATTTATTTGTTGAGAAAGGGTCTCTCTCTGTCACCCCTACTAGAATGCAGTGGCGCCATCATGGCTTACTGCTTCCTGGGCTCAAGCTGTTCTCCCATTTCAGCCTCCCCATGCACCACCCTACCTGGCTAATTTTTTTGTTTGTTTTTTTTAGTTTAGTTTTTGTAGAGACAGATGTCTCACTGTGTTGCACAGGCTGATCTTGAACTCCTGGGCTCACTTGATCCTCCCATCTCAGCCTCCCCAAGTGCTGGGATTACAGGTGTGAGTCACCATGCCCAGACTTTAACATTTTCTTTTTAGTATAGAATAGGTCAGTTTTTTTCCCTCTGATGAGATCCCATGCTGACTCTTAGTTAAAACAAGGCTTTGGTTGGAAGAAGAGCTAGTGATGTCCTAGCTCCCTACTTACTCCACTTTCCCTTGCCTTCTGGGGTGTCCTGAAGACATCATAGGGTGTCATGAAGTACAGTTGGAGAACCAGTGGTCTCCATCATGTACCAAACACTCATCTTCACGAAGCAGTATGTAGTGTCTTTTTTACCGGTATATTTTCTCTCTCCCAATGCATTAAACTTTTCTGGAGTTCAGAAAACAAATTTATAGAATTAAGGAAATGCGTCCCCCCCAACCATGGTGTCTAGTATATATACAGTGACTTACAGATAACAGGTGTTCAACATATATATATTCCTTTGATTGATTTTTGAAAAGTTTACATGTATATATTTTTTATATACGGGGTCTCACTCTATCACTGAGGTTGGAGTGTGGTGATGCAGATCTTGGCTCACCGCAACCTCCTCCTCCCAGGCTCAAGTGATTCTCCCACCTCAGCCTCCCGAGTACCTGGGACCACAGGTGCGCATCACCATGCCTGGCTAATTTTTTATATTTTTGGTAGAGACAGGATTTTGCCGTGTTGCCCAGGTTGGTTTCGAACTCCTGAGCTCAGGCAGTCCACCTGCCTTGGCTTCCCAAGTGTGAGCCACCACTGAAATACTTATATTTTTAAACTTAATTTATTTATATTTATTATATTTTTATGTTTTTATATTTTAAAAAATATTTTTATACTCACTAGACCCAATTTTATACTCCTAAACCAGGGAATAACTGTTTTTTTTTCTCTTACATAGGCATGATACCATAGACAATGATTAAAATTGTAATTACCATTCATTTCTTAGTTTTGTGGCTGGGACACTGATGTCTTCAAATGTTAGTTTGCAAATACAGTCAGCCCTCTCTATCCATGGGTTACACAGCTGTGAATTCAACCAACCATGGATCCAAAATATATGGGAAATACGCTGGGGCTGTGGGTCACACCTGTAATTCCAGCACTTAGGGAGGCTGAGGCAGATGGATCACCTGAGGTCAGGAGTTCAAGACCAGCCTGGCCAACATGGCAAAACCCTAGCTCTACTATAAGTACAAAAAATTAGCTGGCCATGGTAGTGCACATGTGTAATCCCAGCTACTCGAGAGGTTGAGACAAGCAATTTGCTTGAACCTGAGAAGTAGAGGTTTCCATGAGCTGAGATTGTGTCACTGCACTCCAGCCTGCGCAACAGAGTGTGAGAAGAAAAGAAAAAAAACTGTCTGAAAAGAAAAAAAAAAATTATATGGGAAATCAAAAGCATCTATACTGAACATGTACAGACTTTTTTTCTTGTCATTATTCCTTAAGCAGTACCACAACTATTTCCGTAGCATTTACTTTGTATTAGGTATTATAGGTAACCTAGAGGTTTAAAGTATGCGAGAGTATGCAAATACTACACCACTTTGTATCAGGGACTTAAGCATCCCTGGATTTTGGTATCCCTAGGGGGTATTAGAACCAATCCCCCATAGATGCTGAAGGACAACTGTAGTGTGTGTTGGAATAATTTATTTTCAAATGGATCATTTGGAGAACACTATTCTTTAGGAAACATAGCCTCCTAAGTTCTGTTCCATACATCCCTTTCACCTCCACGGCGTTGTAGCATCCTGCTTTCATGACTGTGTCATCACTCGGAAGGAACTGCTTCTCTTCCAGAATGCTTTTCAAGATCTACTCTGACCACAGCTATAAACTTTACACTTCTATTCTCTTCTTGCCCCTCACAGTGTTCTCTGTTCCTCTAAGATCTTAAACTCTGTCTACTCCTAATCCAGCCTGCTGGGTGTGGCTGGAGAAAGTCCCACTGGGGGGCTGATTAGTTAGGAATGTAGGGTTTCCAGCTCTTGCTGGAGCCTCAGAAGAGTTCAGCAGACTTTTTTTTTTTTTTTTTTCCTTAAACCTATTTCTGCAGCCTTGATGACCACTCCTTCCAGTCCCTCACCTATTTGCTTTATTCATGGCAGAGGCTCTTTCTTCCTGCTTGTCAGTACAAAGAGGCAGGATTCTTCACCTGGATCTGTGGATTCTCAAAGAATTTGTGGAGAGAATTCAGGGCATTGATGACCTTGGATGAAGAGAAATTTACATCTTTATTTACACTAACCTTCAAGTGAAATTTAGCATTTTTTGCCATTTAAAAATATGGGCAACAAACAACTAGTAGTATTAGCAGTATTTATGACTTAAGCACCTATAGAACTCAGTTAATTTCATATCGCTTGATGTTATGGGTATCTCAAATTATTATTTTATGTATATATATTTTTGAGATGGAGTCTCGCTCTGTCTCCCAGGCTGAGTGCAGTGGTGCAGTCTCAGCCCATTGCAACCTCTGCCTCCTGGGTTCAAACGATTCTCCTGCCTCAGCCTCCTGAGTAGCTGGGATTACAGGCGCACACCACCACGCCTAGCTAATGTTTGTATTTTCAGTAGAGAAGGGGTTTCACCATATTGGCCAGGCTGGTCACCAACTCCTGACCTCAAGTGATCCGCCTGCCTTGGCTTCCAAAGTGCTGGGATTACAGGTGTGAGCCACCGCACCCGGCCTCAAATTATTTTTAGAAACAGAATCTTGATATGGTATCCGCTCTGGCCTTGAACTTGTGGGCTCAGGCAGTCCTCCCACCTCAGCCTCCTGAGTAGCTGGGATTATAGGCATGTGCCACTGCACCAGGCTTCAAATTATTATGTATGTTCATCACCTCTTTAAATTTATAATAGTTATTAAACCTGTTACTGGATCTTAATATTTAATGCTTTAATTAAGAACATGTATGTTACTATGCCAACAGATTTTTTTAGTTTTTGATAACTGCATTTCATTGTTACTTGTTCTCATTTGATTTCCTGTGTATTTTACGAATTTAAGTACATTCTGAATACGGTTTCATAGGCTTCCCTAAAATATTGAAGGGGCCCATGGATTAAGAAAAAGGCTAAGAATCCCTAATCTAGAGGCTCCCCACAGTCCTCTTTTGTCATCATACCCCTACCCCATTCTAGCCTGAGGAGCGTGGCTCCACCTGTGCCCTTGGTTTTGTTGTTCCAGTCCATACATCCTGCACCCTTAACTGTGTTTCTTATCCCCAACTTGTTTCTTTGTGTTATTCTTCAGTATTATAGTCTTTAATATAATCTGTATAATACATGGTGTAGTAGTATATGCTCGTAGTATACAATTCAGTTAGAACAGATGAGTATTCAATGAAAAGATAATCTCCTCTCTAACCCCCAGTCCCACTTCCCTGGGGAAGCCTGTGTTCTTGTGTACAATTCAGAAAATGTTTATACACATATTTTTTATTTATTTATTTTTTGAGACGGAGTCTCGCTCTCGCCAGGTTGGAGTGCAGTGGCGCAATCTTGGCTCACTACAACCTCCGCCTCCCTAGTAGTTCAAGCAATTCAAGGTTCAAGCAATTCGCCTGCCTCAGCCTCCCGAGTAGCTGGGACTATAGGCGTGTACCACCACGCCTACCTAATTTTTGTATTTTTAGTAGAGACAGGGTTTCACCATGTTGGCCAGGATGGTCTCGATCTCTTGACCTCATGATCCACCCGCCTCAGCCTCCCAAAGTGCTGGGATTACAGATGTGAGCCACTGTGCCCAGCCTGTTGATTTAATTTTAAACAGAGTTTCGCTCTTGTTACCCAGGCTGGAGTGCAATGGTGCGATCTCGGCTCACCGCAGCCTCTGCCTCCCAGGTTCAAGTGATTCTCCTGCTTCAGCCTCCCGAGCAGCTGGGATTACAGGCATGCACCACCATGCACAGCTATATTTAGTAGAGATGGGGGTTTCTCCATGTTGGTCAGGCTGGTCTCGAACTCCGGACCTCAGGTGATCCGCCCGCCTCGGCCTCCCAAAGTGATGGGATTACAGGCGTCAGCCACTGCACCCCGCCTATACACATTTTTTTGTTTTTTGTTTTTTTGAGATGGAGTCTCGCTCTGTTGTCCAGGCTGGAGTGCAGTGGCGCGATCTCTGCTCACTGCAAGCTCTGCCTCCCTGGTTCACACCATTCTCCTGCCTCAGCCTCCCGAGTAGCTGGGATTACAGGCGCCGGCCACTACGCCCATCTAACTTTTTGTATTTTTAGTAGAGATGGGGTTTCACCGTGTTAACCAGGATGGTCTTGATCTCCTGACCTCGTGATCTGCCTGACTGGGCCTCCCAAAATGCTGAGATTACAGGCGTGAGCCACCGCTCCCAGCTATACACGTATTTTTAATGCCACTCCAGTCTATGTTGGAACCATTTTACTTCCCCTTTCTTATTTTCTTCTTGTGTTCTTGAAGGCCTAGATCAGCTGTTGCTGATAGGCTGTCACTGTCACTTTAGAAAGCCCAGAGCCTTTTGTTCCTTAGAACTTTGTTTTTAATTGTATTGTAGCACTCATTGTATTCGATTCTAAAAGATTTGCTTCATTTCTGTAACTAGTCTCTTACACCCAGGAGCTCCTAGTTCCTACAGGAAATGCTGGGAATTGTATCAGTCAAATGTGAATCCCCACCTCGTCCAGACTTATGAGTGCATTGTAGGTACTCAGTAAGTGCTAAAAATGACTAAATAGTCCCACTGATACCAATCTATATACTGATACTTTATATAGTATATAGATTGGTCCACATATAACGATGACACATAATGAGAAACTGTCTTAAAAAGTTGTTGAAAGTGCCGCAGGAATAGGAATTGATCAAAACAATATGATTTTTTAGGTTTATATGGAACTTTGATGTTTGAGAAAAGGCTGATTTAGTTGAGAAGAAATGGTTAGCTGAGGATTTTGATGACTTCTCTGGAAGCACATTTGAGGGTTTGTGATGTTAAATCTGATGTTAATGATTATTTCATCCAGTTTTATGTCATTTTATAGTTTTTATACATTTAAGTATATTTATTTCTAATGTTTAACACTACCATTTTAGTTATTTGACCATTATTCTGGCCCTTTAAAAAATGCTCAGACAAGTTTGAATGATTTTTCAGAGGCATTATTGGCTCAGAGGTAAAAGAGGAAAGATTGAGAAGCTGAATATGTACTCTGTTTCCTGGGTATGGGGCTGGGGATACCCAGAAGAGGTTCACACGTTGGTCGAGACATTTCTTTATGACCACCAGCAGGTGGCATCACCGGCCCAAAATGACTAAGTTTCTGCCCAGAATCAGAAGAGAAGGTGTTGAGAGCCCACTGCTGTGGGGGTAGCATGGAGGTGGGATACAGGGGCTGGAGGTGATACAATTTTGTTTCTTCCTCCAACATCGCCTGCTAGTCTAGAGGCTTTTATAAATTGAAAAACTAATTCTTTATCATCTCATCTGATGGTTTTTATGTTTTTCCTTTTTTCTCTCTATACCTGTAGTTCCTTCAGAAACAGGTAACACTTTTCTAATAGTCACGTTGTATTCTTGCATCTTGTTGTTACAATGCTTTTGTTTCTCACCATAGGGGATGATGGAAAATTAATATTCTTTGACTTATGGCATTGGTAAAATCTGCATGCAAATTCCCACAGTTGCCTGTAGATTAGAGCCAGTTGTTTTTTTCTCAACTTTGCAGGAATCCTGGTTACAACATTGTACTATTTACTACCAACAGTGTTTTTTTTTTTTAAAATCCAGACTTGCTGGGCATAGTGGCTCATGCCTGTAATCTCAGCGACTTGGGAGGCTGAGGTGGGAGGATTGCTTGAGCCCAGGGCTGCAGTGATTGCGGCACTACACTCCAGCATGAGTGACAAAGACCCCATCTCTGAAAAAACAAAAACAAAAACAAATTTTTTTTAAAGAAACAGAAACAAAAATCCAAACTTGTAACCACTGTAAAACAAATCAGAATTTACGATAGTGGATATTATTAATAGTGCAGAATGGATACCCAGATCTTGCTTCCTTTCTAGCTAATGATGCAATGTTGGCCTGAAATGCATTACTTATAGCCAGGGATTTTCTCAGCATCCTGATGATATAGCCTCATTTCGTGCTAACTCTCCACTTCTGCACATCTTCCCCTAAGTCCTTTACTCATCTTTAGAAAGAGCTACTTTTGGTGAAATTTTAAAACCAAGGAATATCATTCTTTATAGAATCACACTTCTGTGTTTTCCCCTTCCCCATTTCTGTCTCGAAAGCGACAGACTGCTACATAACCTGTGAATACTTTTTTTTAAAAAAAGTTTGGTATTGTAAACAGAAGATTTAAGATTAAAATGTAGCATTGAGAAAAATAGATTTATTAATAATGCCCTCTTAACACAACCTAAATTCTGGTCAGTGGAATAAAGCCTGGGTCCTAAAGTTTTAGACGCTTGCTTGCTTTTCCACACTGGCTCTTACTTGGGGATCCTTTTAGAAATTTGTTTAGAATAATACTGTAAAAACATATTTAAGCTACTTTGTGTGTACATTTGGGATCTTTTGGTTTGAAGACGGCTTGACTCAAGACTTTCTAAATATTTTCACACACACACACATACCCTGTAGTGAGAAAAAAATCCGTTTATATGGTTCTATAAAAATCTCTAGCTGCTTCGAGCTTTAATTTCTTGAATCAAAAGAGTATTGTTTTTAATACTGAGCTTCTATCTAAATAAATGCTTTATTTACTTAAATGTGTGCTTTTCAAAAACTAGTATGATTAAGACATTAACAGGATCTTAGACGTAAAGGAACAGTCCTGTTGCTTCTTCCAGAAGATAATATGACTCGTTTGGAATTTTCCTATAGTGTAGTTTTTTGTCTAGTGTTGTGAGAATTAAAGGGATTTCAGGATCTTAAGGTAGGTTATTATTTGATGTTTTCTTGGAACATTTTACATTCTTGAAAATACACATGGCTAAATTAATTTTTGCCAGCAATCCACATAACTTTAAGATAATGTAGAGAAGAACGTGATTCAGGTTAGTATCAAATAAGGTCAGATTTCTAGTGCCATCAGTAGCTTTCAGCAAAGATGAGGTGTTGGTAAGATAGCATTAGTCTCTTAGAATCTCTTAGAGAGATTTTCCAAAATTCAGCCATTTCTAGTGAATGCTCCATTCCACCCCCAGCTGAGTCCTGCTGCTCTGGGGAACTCCCTCAGCACACTCTTGGCTCTTAGAATTGCTAGCAATGGGAGTAGTGCTGCTGGTGGAGCTGGCAGCTAAGCCCAGAGGTGGATTAATGCTTTTATTCCCTGATGTACAGGTACACACACTCATACCTACCCACACCTAGTTTGGGATAAGAAGAGGTTAGAATTAGCTAGGCTTGAAGTTCCATGCTTAAATTTGCTGGCTCAGATTTCTTATTTTGGCATCACTTTGCCCATTAGGGAGACAATGACAGTTATAGAAGCATTGCCAAATAAAAAATCCATCTGGAATAACCTCTTTTGTAGGAGTATTGTGTGTTTAGTTGTTGATTCGTCCCTTCCTCCTCTTAGTGGCAACTTACAGTACTGGGAAGGAACAGTGGCTGGGAGCTTATATTCCTCAGCAGAGCCAGATCAGCAGAAGTATTACTCCTTAGTTCGTAGTAGGTGGTACCCTATGGGTCCAGTCATTTAAATGCAAGCCTGTATCTACAGAGCGTTTCCTAGTGCCATCATTGCCCAGTGGGCCTTTATTTAGCTGAGTCTAACTCCCAACTAGAGAAAATTTCCTGTGCCAGACAGCAGTATGGTCAGCTAACATGTGGATGCTACATTTGCTTTCATAAGTCAGTACTCTTCAATAACATTAGTAGAAGAGAAGAGGACACAAAGTGAGAGTGTGTTAATAGGAAGTCCAGGTATGCCTGCTACCTGAACTTTCTGAGACAGGTAATACTGTAGGGCCTGAACTTTGTAGCAGAGTGGTTATATATGAAGAAGTGGGTTCTGGGAGGGGTTAAACCACTTAGAATGGCTTCATTTACTAATGGCAAGAGTTTGCTGGGATATTGACCACTGTACATAGACATGAATATGGAAAGTTAAAAACAAAATCCACATATATTTGGCTGCAAGTACTCCGAAGGTATATCTAATTAGTGCATCCATTAAACAAAAGAGATATTTTAGGCCGGGCATGGTTGCTCACACCTGTAATCCCAGCACTTTGGGAGGCCAAGGTGGGTGGATCACCTGAGGTCAGGAGTTCGAGACCAGCCTGGCCAACATGGTGAAACCCTGTCTCTGCTAAAAATACAAACATTAGCTGGGCGTGTTGGTGGGCGCCTGTAATCTTAGCTACTTGGGAGGCTGAGGCAGGAGATTCCCTTGAACCTGGAAGGTGGATGTTGCAGGGAGCCGAGATGGTGTCACTGCACTCCGGTCTGGGTGAAAGAGCAAGCTCCATCTCAAAAAAGAAAAAAAAAAAAAGAGATATTTTTGATGGATTGATAGAAATTTTCTTTTTCTTTTTTTTTTTGAGACAGGGTCTCACTCTGTCGCCAGGCTGGAGCACAGTGGCGTGATCTCCATTCATTGCAACCTCCACCTCCCGGGTTCAAACGATTCTCCTTCCTCAGCCTCCCGAGTAGCTGGGACTACAGGCATGTGCCACC
The DNA here is from genome assembly GCF_000001405.40 of Homo sapiens. Classification (NCBI taxonomy): domain Eukaryota; kingdom Metazoa; phylum Chordata; class Mammalia; order Primates; family Hominidae; genus Homo; species Homo sapiens. The sequence goes on along the minus strand of NC_000012.12, from coordinate 111,526,218 downwards.
ATGCCCAACTAATTTTTGTATTTTTAGTAGAGAGAGGGTTTCACCATGTTGGCCAGGATGGTCTCGATCTCTTAACCTCATGATCCACCTGCCTGGGCCTCCCAAAGTGCTGGTATTACAGGCATGAGCCACCACATCTGGCCAGAAATTTTCTTGGTCACTTCTGAGACATGCAGAGTAATTACCTGTAATATAATTTAATGAATTATGTCAATATATTAAAATATGCTTCATGTGGGCTGGGCATGGTGGCTCATGCCTGTAATCCCAGCACTTTGGGAGGCCAAGGTGGGGGTATCACTAGGTCAGGAGATCAAGACCAGCCTGGCTAACACGGTGAAACCCCGTCTACTAAAAATACAAAAAATTATCCGGGCGTGGTGGTACACACCTGTAGTCCCAGCTACTCGGGAGACTGAGGCAGGAGAATCGCTTGAACCCGGGAGGCAGAGGTTGCAGTGAGCCGAGATCACGCCACTGCATTCCAGCCTGGGCAACAGAACGAGACTCTATCTCAAAAAAAAAAAAAAAATGCTTCGTGTGGCTTAAAATTATATGAAAAGAAAATACCTTTACTGATAGTCATCTGTGATTCCATTTGCTAAATTAAACGTGAAAGCATACTTTTACTGAATACTATATATTCCGTATCAGTTTAGATAGCAGTTTATCTTCACATACATAAGTTTTAAGTTTACCTTTATTATAGTGCATTGGTCTTTTGTTTTCATCAACCTAAATTATGTTCAATAAATGTTTCTGTTAGATTTTAAGTTAAACAATTATGTGAAATTCATTTTTCGTAATTGTTTTTTAACATATGTCTTTGTTGGTAATTCACGTGTGTGAGTGTAACTGATTGCCAGATTATATAAACTTTCAACCAAAACCATTCTTTGCAGATGCTTTTACTGACTCTGCTATCAGTGCTAAAGTGAATGGCGAACACAAAGAGAAGGACCTGGAGCCCTGGGATGCAGGTGAACTCACAGCCAATGAGGAACTTGAGGCTTTGGAAAATGACGTAGTAAGTAACATCTTTGTAATTATTGCTAGACTCTGGTCAGTATGACATCCTGTCACTTGGTTGTAATTTAAATGTGCTTTTGTTGTTGTTGTTATTGTAGTGAGTGTATTTAGAGCAGCAGGTTTGTTGTATAACTAGAGACTTTCTCCCAAGCAATATATAAAGAAAAATGTTTGTCATTTTACTTGTAGGGGTTAAGCAGGAGTACTGTCTGTTCTTGTGGATGCTCATGAATTACTTCTTTGTGATTAAAATAAATAATAAGAAGTAGCTTAAATTAAAATTAGAAACCATGGGAAATGCCGGTGTGTTTTGCTTTAACACCCAGCCAAATAAGGTAGCCTAAGGAAAGTGGTGTCTTAATTGTTGACTTCACCTAGAGAAGAGGTTGAAGTAGGACATTTTAAGCCTCTTGTCTGAAGAAAAGGTTGTCATTAAGATAAATAATTAGGTTACATTGGAATTAAAGCATTACATAAATTTCTTGGTCTTAAATTTGGATTATTCTCCACAAAATTCTTTTATTTCTAAAACGCCTCTTGTCACATACTAGTTTTGTTTCTCTCTTTAATGCATTATCTGTACTTGAAGTGCTTAGCTGGGTATGCTGGCACATGCCTGCAGTCCCAGCTACTTGGGAGGCTGAAGCAGGAGGATCACTTGAGCCCAGGAGTTGGAGTCCAGCCTGAATGACATAAGGAGACCCCTTCTCTAAGAAATAAAAATAAAAACAAATACTTAATAAAGACTCTGTCTTTAGGATAGAGAGCATAGAGATATAAAGCAAAGTGTCTTGCCAAAAATGAGTGTTATGGTACCAATATTTGAGTAGAATGAAGAATCTTCCATTGAGTAGAAAGAGAATTTGTAACATATCTGTGTTTGATGTTTAAGGCATAACAGCTTAATAATGACACTCTTCCTCAGACAGGAAGCCTGAAATGTCCTACTTTGACCTAAAGTCTAGTAATAAAACTGGACATACACAGGCAACATGTCATTAATTCTCAAACTTTAACAAATCATATATAACCTAATATAATGGTTCTCAAGTCTGTACATCACGTCACCTGTATGAAAAATATGAGGAAACAGAGACTTCTTTTACACTATTGGTGAGGTGGATAAATTGATAGAGTCTTTCTGGAGAGAATCTGGCAATGCTAATCAAAATTTAAAATGCACATACACTTTGTTCCAGCAGTTCTATCTCTAGTAATTTATTTTTGCCCTCATATATCCATAAGACATGCAAATAATTATATGTGAAGATTTTTTTTTTTTCTTTTTCTGCAGAGACAGGGTTTTACCATGTTGCCCAGGGTGATCTGGAACTCCTGAGCTCAGGTAATCCACCCACCTCAGCCTCCCAAAGTGCTGGGATTACAGGTGTGAGCCATCATGCCTGACCAGGATTTTTTTTTTTTTCAGCATTATTTCTTTTGTTGTTGTTGCTGTTGTTTTGAGAGATGGAGTCTCACTCTGTCACCCAGACTGGAGTGCAGTGGTGCGATCTCGGCTCCCTGTAACCTCCACCTCCTGGGTTCAAGTGATTCTACTGCCTCAGCTTTCCAAGCAGCTGGGACTATAGGCGTGCGCCACCACACCCAGCTAATTTTTGTATTTTTAGTAGAGACGGGGTTTCACCATATGTTGGCCAGGCTGGTCTTGAACTCCTGACCTCAGGTGATCTGCCCACCTCGGCCTCCCAAAGTGCTGAGATTATAGGCGTGAACCACCATGCCTGGCCATAGCATTATTTCTAATAGTGAAAAATTGGAAACATGCTAAGTGTCTATCAATATAGCATGAGTTAGATTTATGATGTCACCATTCAATTGAAACACTACATATCTCCCAAAAAGAATGGTGTTCCAATATGGAAAGATATCTAAGATTTATTAAGAGAAAAAGCACATTGCAGAACACTGGGATCCTATTTGCTTTTTTTTTTCTTTTTTTGAGACAGAGTCTTGCTCTGTCACACTGCAACCTCCGCCTCCCGGGTTCAAGCGATTCTCCTGCCTCAGCCTCCTGAGTAGCTGCCACCATGCCCAGCTAATTTTTGTGTTTTTAGTAGAGAAGGGGTTTCACCATGTTTGTCAGGCTGGTCTTGAACTCCTGAACTCGTGATCCACCTGCCTCAGCCTCCCAAAGTGCTGCGATTACTGGCATGAGCCACCGCACCTGGCCATGAAATTTTTTTTTTTTTTTAAAGAGCTGTTCATATTCTTATTGCCTAGAAGATGTCTGAAATTACACCCAAGAAACTCTTTTTGAGACGGAGTCTTGCTCTGTTGTCCAGGCTGGAGTGCAATGGCGTGATCTTGGCTCACTGAAACCTCTGCCTTCCAGGTTCAAGCGATTCTCCTGCTTCAGCCTTCTGAGTAGCTGGGACTACAAGCGCCCGCCACCACATCTGGCTAATTTTTTGTATTTTTAGTAGAGACAGGGTTTCAACATGTTGGCCAGGCTGGTCCCGAACTCCTAATCTCAGGTGATCCACCCACCTTGGCCTCTCAAAGTGCTGGGATTACAGGCATGAGCCACTGCGCCCGGCTGAAACTCTTTTTTTTTCTTTTAAGATGGAGTCTCGCTCTGTCGCCCAGACTTGAGTGCAGTGGTGTGATCTCAGCTCACTGCAAGCTCTGCCTCCCGGGTTCACACCATTCTCCTGCCCTAGCCTCCCAAGTAGCTGGGACTACAGGCTCCCGCCACCACACCTGGCTAATTTTTTGTATTTTTAGTAGAGACAGGGTTTCACCATGTTAGCCAGCATGGTCTCAATCTCCTGACTTCGTGATCCTCCTGCCTCGGCCTCCCAAAGTGCTGGGATACCAGGCATGAGCCACCGTGCCCGGCCAGAACTCTTAATAGTAGTTATTTATGCACGCTGGGATTGGAAGACATTTACTTTTTACTGGATGTCTTTCCGTATTGTGTGCTTTTTTTTTTTTTTTTTTATGTAGGGCATACATTACTTAAGTAATTTTAAAGCCTCCATAAGTAAGTGTGATTTCCTGCCCATGTGTTTGGCAAAAGGAATTGCATTGGTGGTAGACTTACATTATAGTCTTACCTGGAGTAGCACAGGAGGACCCAAGGTTAATAGGTGAACTTCGAGGCAAGCCTTAGCATTGAGGTTGCCATCAGCATTGCTTGGTTGATGTGTTCATTCTTCTGGGATGGATTACAACCTTTACTGGACTTTATACTTTTCACCAGTAAGGCTTTAAAAAAGGAGTTGAAACATTAGAGAATAATTATCCAGGCAGTAATATTCACTGGTAAATAGTCTTCCAGCCTGTGGCCCAATTGGTTGATTCTTTTACGTTAAAGAATGCAGCCTCAGCTGCTCTGCCTATGGAGTAGGATTCTTTTATTTACTTTCTTAATAAACTTGCTTGCCCCTGGCTCCCCCCCACCAAAAAAAGAAGGCAGCCTCCCTTTTGCGAATGGTAATTTCCTATAGTTTCCTCGTAGAATTGTGGAGTTACCTATGCTGAGGTTATAGGTTAGGGTATTGAGATCCAGAGTTGCCACTTCTGAGGTGTCACAACTGCTAATGGTAAAACCATTTCTAAAGCCCAGTTCTTGTGACTTTGTCCAGTGATTGCCTGTTCACCGTTTCATGCTGCCTTCCCATTTGAGCATTCCCAGGAGGAAGGGGAGGTTGCCAGGGACCTAGTACCATAGTCCGACCTTGGAATCGTTGAATATGAGGGAAAGCGTTGGCTTCTCCCTTCTTTCTCCCAAACATTGGAAGTATTTTTGGCTGTTAAAAAGCACCCCTTGTTCCATGTGGAATCCCTTGTTTAAAAGAAGTAAAATATGTACCTCCTGTCCTCCACAGACCTGAGGACCAGTGTGATCTCAAGAAGGTTACAGGTAAATGTAGATGTCTCTAACTGAAAGGTGGCTTTTACAGGTTAGAGAAAAGAGAGAACCCTGATCTGAAGGCTATTTTATGAAGTAATTAAAATGTTCTAAACTTTAAAAATAACTGCTCAAATAATTGTGTTGTATAGTTACTTATCAACTGGAGGGGCTGATAAGTATTTTTCTAAAACATTTTTAAGGAAATTTTTTCCTATTTTCTAATTTGCTAATTTTGCTCAAGTAGTTTGTTAGATATTGTTAATATAGATGTTGGTTATAACTGAATGAAAGGGAACAACTACTTTGACATTTTGAAAAACAAGCTTCATTTTCTTCTAGTCTAATGGATGGGATCCCAATGATATGTTTCGATATAATGAAGAAAATTATGGTGTAGTGTCTACGTATGATAGCAGTTTATCTTCGTATACGTAAGTTTGAAAAGTTTGTTTTTATTTTAGTGCATTTGTCTTTGATTTTCATCAGCTTAATTTATGATGAATAAATGTTTGTTAGTTTTTAAGTTAAACAATTACATGAAATAATTTTTCTCTTATTACCAACTGTGATAAATTTCCATTAAAAAAAGGGAATAAATGTAGTTTGCCTATACCCTGTTTTTATGCTCTAAACAAATTTTGGTTTTGTCTTTTTTTTTCTTTTGAGAGGGAATCTCGCTGTGTCTCCAGGCTGGAGTGCAGTGGTGCAATCTCGGCTCACTGCAACCTCTGCATCCCGGGTTCAAGCGATTCTCCTGCCTCAGCCTCCCGAGTAGCTGGGACTATAGGCGCGTGCTACCATGCCCATCTAATTTCTGTATTTTTAGTAGAGACGGGGTTTCACCATGTTGGCCAGGATAGTCTCGATCTCTTCACCTCGTGATCCACCTGCCTCGGCCTCCCAAAGTGCTGGGATTACAGGTGTGAGCCACTGTGCCTGGCCGGTTTTGTCTTCTAAGTTGTTAAAAAATATCTAAATTTGCAAGGGCAGAGATTATGGTGAACAGTTTAACCAGTTTTTGAAATATGTTCCTCTGGAGAAAAGGTAACAGAAAAAAAAGTTAGAATTTTGATTTATAAATACACAGATCACTATAACTTTTAGTTTTAGTTTTAGTTTTAGTTTCTGTTTTTACCAGTATTCTAAACTCTAAACTTTCTTAGTAGTTGATTATGACAGATACATAAACTGTGGCTTTAAAGGACTCATTTTGCTTTTCTTTTCCTCATGTTTCAGAGTGCCCTTAGAAAGAGATAACTCAGAAGAATTTTTAAAACGGGAAGCAAGGGCAAACCAGTTAGCAGAAGAAATTGAGTCAAGTGCCCAGTACAAAGCTCGAGTGGCCCTGGAAAATGATGATAGGAGTGAGGAAGAAAAATACACAGCAGTTCAGAGAAATTCCAGTGAACGTGAGGGGCACAGCATAAACACTAGGTATTTAAAGGAAATCATGATGCAGTATTTTGGATACACAACTCAAGGTCTGTGTGAGACGGTGTATTGTTATTATATTTCCTCTTCCTTTAATATAGCTTAGGTAGAGAATGCAAGTAGAATTGGTTTAAGATCTGTTAGAGAAAAGGTTATGGTGATCTTGGAAAATATGCTTTTGAGAGTAAGCTCTGTGGAGCCAAGTGTTGGTATATCACGGTGAGCAATCCAAGATCTTGAAGAGCTTGTTAAAATAGTTATCTGGTGGGGGACACGTGTAACAATCACAGCAGTACAATATGATTTGCTTGGTTAAAGGCATGTTCAAAGTACTAGGAACATACAGAATGAGGAGGAGCTAGCATAACCTGTAGAGTCAGAGAAAACCTCATTGAGGAGGTGACATTTTGTGATAAGATAATAGGGTCTTTGACACTTAGAGAAGAGTTGGGAGAAGAGTTTATCACCTGATGAAAAGCCATGTACAAGCATGGCTATGAGAAAATTTGGCCAGCTCAGGAGAGGGCTGGTTGTTGCATGTGTCTGGAACACAGGATCTGTGTCAGGTGCAGCAGTGGCAGTTGATAGTAGGAACTGAGGTCATTAAAGGACTTGGCATGTCATGCTAAAGAGCACCCTGTTGGAAGGAGATGGGGTGAATAAACCCTGGGGCATTGAGGACTGGCTGAGACACAGAGAACAGTTAGTGCACTGAAATAGTTCAACTGTGAGAATTTGGTAACCACCTAGTTAAGGGATGAGCCTGAGGTTTATTTGATAACTAAGTGACTTAATGGATGTACTGGTAAGAGAGAGAGGAAACATGGAGCAAGTTTGAGGGGAAAAACAGTGACTCCGTTTGTGCAGCTAATTGCATATGTGGGCTTGTGGGTCTTTCATTTATTCATAAACGTGTTGAGAAATACCTGCTACCTATCTAGTAAAGTAAGAGATGCATCCTCTCTTAAAGGCAGTCAGCTTAGAGTCTGGTGATTTGAATTGACATGTCCACTGATAGATGTTGACACTGTGAGACTGGCGGTTCAGTTTGAGGTTTCATCAGCATTGCCGATATTGGAGCCATGAAAAACCAAAGAACAGCCAGTGAGAGAAGAGATCTCAGAGAAAATAAAATTGAGAAAGTGAAGGACAAAAAATGTTGTGAAGATAGACCAAGATTGATGGAATCAGCCATAGAGAGGTCAAGTGGGATGAGAATGAGCACGCATCTGTTAAACTTTGTGCTTAGGAGCAGAATCTAAGGGAAGGGACAGTCCAGAGGTTAGAACTCAGGGTAAGATGGAAGAACAGGGGCATCTGGGAGTGAGGCAGTTTGGTTTAGTGTAGAACCTTTTTGTAACAAGCATTCCCTTCTGTCTAGATGACTTTTAGATATGTTTCATTGGCTTGGTACCTTTTAGAATAAAATGATTTAGAGGATCTCTCATTTTCAGGGAAAATAAATATATTCCTCCTGGACAAAGAAATAGAGAAGTCATATCCTGGGGAAGTGGGAGACAGAATTCACCGCGTATGGGCCAGCCTGGATCGGGCTCCATGCCATCAAGATCCACTTCTCACACTTCAGATTTCAACCCGAATTCTGGTTCAGACCAAAGAGTAGTTAATGGAGGCAAGTATTTTGACCAGACTTGTCAATATCATTGATAAAATAGTTTTCTAAATACTTAAAATACTTAAAATAGTTTACATAACTGATATGAATGTGCACTTTAATGATTTGGTGAGTAGCTTTCACTTCAGCATTACTTAAAATTGGCTTTTGTGGATATTAAATTAGTAAAACATTGTATATGTCATTGACATATATATTATTTAGCATGATGAAATATTCATGATGTACTAAGATAAAGTGCTACATTTAACCCAAGACAATCACTTGGCCAAAAACACTTCACATATAAAGAAATTGGAAACTTTGGGTAGGTTCTCAATTTTAAAAACACTGGATAATAAAATTTTTTAGACATAATTTATATGGAAAATTCTAACCTATGTGCAACACTGTGGTTAATATAGATCAATTTTCATTATTTGTTTCTATATTATGCTTACTTCAAGAAAGGATCTGAGGTAACTTATAATACAAGACATGATCAAGAGTCATGTGAAGAAAGTGACTAGAGAAATTTGCTTAAAAAACAACAAAAACAACCCTTAGTCTAAGGGTGGATGTTACAGTTTAGCAACTTAAGTAAAAGAAACCTGAATCTTTAGTAGGAAGACATTTTTTACTCTACCTCTAAATCTAGGTTGAATATATCTTGTAGGTTGTGGATCTTTTCCATAAATCAGGGATACTGAACAACAGTTCTATGGATGGTATGGAAATAGTAATAGCAATAGTATGTTACTAACTTTGTGGGAAAAGAGTGGACATTCAATTTTAGCTATTTAAATTTGGAAAGTTAGATGAAAATAGAGAACACTAAGTTTCCAATTTCATTTGTTTTCATTGAGTCTTTTCTCCAGAATTCCTCTCCAAATGGACACTCTTGAGTATTTTCAGTACTTAATATTGGGGGTGAAATTTCTTTGCTCACTGAGGAAAGATTTTAGTTGTTTATAAACAGAATTTTAAAGTTAAAAAACCTGAAGGGGGCTGAGAAATATATGATACTTAAGTGTGTGGAACCCTATGGAGAGGAGACCTGGACTGTTTGATAAGATTAAGGTAAGTGATATGTAATGTTAAATACTAGCTGTATCTTTACCTAGGCATATCCATCAGTATAAATTTATTTGGTGATGACTGCTTTGTAGTTGCAGTATTTATTAAGCAGTCGCTTAGATAAGTGTTTAACTGTATAAATTATTTAGAAGGTCTCCCTTTTTCTAGTTTAATGAGGTCAAGACTTTTTTTTTGAAATAGCAATGAATATTATCATTTGATACTCACAGGAGTCACAAACTCTAGAAGAGTAATGTTTTATTTCTACTTAAATGGGACTTGCTTAATAAGATTCCAAACTGAGTTCTGGGTTCAAGTGTAAACCTGATGAAAATCATAGATAATTGTAAGGAACCAGCATTTCTAATTGGATATAATAGCTACTGCTTATTTTCGTTATGCCTCAGAGTTAAAACTAATACAGTAAATAATCTTACTCCTGAGTAGGAATTATTGTGATTTATTATGTGAAATTATCTAGTGTATGTTATATTCCTTTAAACAACCAGTTACTGAGAAACAGTTATAGAAGCAGGATTAATAGGCAAAGTCTTAACTGTCTTCTTCAATAGTGTGTATAGATCCTAATTAACCCTTTGGGAACGTGTATTCATTTAAACAGACTTAATCTTAAGGAGGTTAAAGTAAAATGTGAATTTATGTCAGTTAAGTTATGCTAAAACTTATCACAAATCAAATGACTGTCCTCAAAGGGTTAAAATGTACAAGAAATCATTTTTGTCATTTTACTTTTTTTCTGTTTACTTTTTTCCCTCATTTTTTTCTTTAGTTTTTATACTTTCCTTCATATCATTTGTTCTGTCAGGTGTTCCCTGGCCATCGCCTTGCCCATCTCCTTCCTCTCGCCCACCTTCTCGCTACCAGTCAGGTCCCAACTCTCTTCCACCTCGGGCAGCCACCCCTACACGGCCGCCCTCCAGGCCCCCCTCGCGGCCATCCAGACCCCCGTCTCACCCCTCTGCTCATGGTTCTCCAGCTCCTGTCTCTACTATGCCTAAACGCATGTCTTCAGAAGGTACAATACCACAATTTGTTCATGTTTTTGTTTGTCTTTGTTTAACTCCTATGTGAGTTTATAATTACAAAATAGTTTCCTCTTCATTATTTAATAACCTATAATTTCTGTGTTTTAACTTTAGTTTATTAAAACTATTTCTATTAACCTTTTGTTCATTAGAGAGAAATTTGATAAATGTGTGAAGCTATAAACTCTCTTGAATTGTTGTTAAAAAGGGGGTTTATCTCTGCCTGATAATTATGCTTCTTTACAGCCCCAGAAGGGTCTGCCCCACAGCCTTCCCCCTCCTTATTTGCACTGTATACAGTAGTTAAACAAATGAACTTTCTTCAGCCAGTCTTGAACTTAGGTTCATTTTACAGCTCTTTGGCCAAGGTCCTAGTGAACCTTCCTATTGGCCATAAGCAGGGATGGTGTTTTCTGGGTCTTTTTTGAGAGCGACAGCCCATGTAGCTGACTTTGCGTGTCTGCCCTTAGATTAAAGTAGTTGATTTTTAGAATGCCAGAAGAATTCTAAATTTAACTGAGTAATTTTTTTAAAGTTAGCTTTGCAATCTTACATAGTGAAAGGCTGCTTTAATCTGGAAGAAGTCCTTGATCTGAGATAAAATTGATAAAAACGACATATGAATTTGAATATTTAGCTATTTCTTTCCTCGTCAAAAATAAGAATAAAATCTTGTAATTCTTATTCAGTATTTGGCGCTAAATCCATCATTGCCACATATCAAATACAGGGATATGTTGTAGAAAGGTAACATTCTAATTTAAATGCCACCCATATATTAAAAACCTGTTTTCTGAATCATAATGTCCTTTTGATACTAGTTCTGAATATTTGTGTTAAAATTTTAATCTGATTTGTTCATTAAAATTAGTTAATATTGCTTATGTTGGGACTAATAAAGTTTTCCGCACAAAATGTGTTTCTCCTGCTTCCCTGGAGAAAACTGTATTGGCTACTTTTAAATAAATTGTTACCATCTAAGCAGGCAGGTCATATGACTTTGACTGAAGCATCTAACCTTGAAGAGCAAGTTCCACTGATTTTCAAGGTGACTTCTTTGCTCAAAAGGGCCTTAATAGTGGTCACTAAATGCAAAATTCTGTTGATATTTTTCTTGTAGTCCATCATTTGAGTAAGCGATGTTTATTTAATGAGAATATATTAAATAAAACATGATCATTAATGACTGTGAACATCTTTATTACATTAAGATTTAAGGACTGCTCATGTATTAACTTCACACAGAAATATACTTTCTGTGTCATTCAGAGATGTTGAATATTTCCATTTGAAAATTATAGTGTATAACATTAGCATTCTTCTAAAGATCATGTTCGTGTTTAAATTCCTGTTGGAAGCCAGGCATGGTGGCTAACGCCTGTAATCTCAGCACTTTGGGAGGCTGAGGCAGGTGGATCACTTGAGGTCAGGAGTTTGAGACCAGCCTGGCCAACATGGTGAAACCTCGTCTCTACTAAAAATACCCAGCTACTTGGGAGGCTGAGGCAGGAGAATCACTTGAACCTGGGAGGCAGAGGTTGCAGTGAGTTGAGATCGTACCACTGCACTCCAGCCTGGGCGACAGAGACAGACTCTGTCTTATAAAAATAAAAATAAAATAATAATTCTATTGGCAACATATATTAATTTGAAGTTCTAAAGAGTTTGGCAGCCGGGTGAGAGAGTGAGGAGATTTGGCTTTGACATTAGGGAAGTTTTCGCTTGGTGTTAACACCAGTAGGCTTCTCTGATGAGGGCCATTCTGTCCACTCTTTTACCTGATAGATTGGTCTAATGCACAGTAGACTGATTTAGAAAGAGTAGTCACTAGTGGCATGGCAGAATCAATAATGTAGAATTTTGACAATTCATATAGTGCTGATTTCTCCCCCAAATGTCAGTTATTTTGGTCATCTATTAATAGACTAATACAAGTCATCCCTTTAATAGAATTTTCAGCTCACAGCCTGCTAAGCCTAAGAAACTGCTTACAGGTTACTGCTTACTGTTTTAAGCCGAGTTTTAAAATTGATGATCATGATAGAAGAGATAAATAAACTAAAATTTTAGAGAAATTTAAGAAGGGTATGTACATATGTTTTAGTGGTATCGGGGTGTATAGGGATTAATAGTCTTCTGTTTAAATTTTTTTTTTCTAATTTTAGAAGTAATGTAGAAAATTCGGGTCAGGGAAAGGTAAAATATATGGAAAGTTAAAAATATTTTATCATGTAGTCATAATTTCTAGTAACATATTTCTTTACAAATAAGACATAGTTGAAACAGATTGCTACAGTTCTTTTAAGAGTTGACATCTTATTGTTGATTTCTTACCACCAACTTCATCCCTCCCTTTCTTTAAAAATAAAGGGAAATAATAAAATTTATTTATAAAACTTTGTGGCATTCCACAAAATAATTCTGAAAGAATTAGTATGGCCAAAAAAATATGTATGGTGTTTTTTTTTTTTCTATTTTTAACCAAGGAAAAACTGTAGAGTGAGTGAGTGTGTGTGCATGTGTGTGTGAATGGGTGTATTTAGCAGAAAAGTAGTACTGATGAATATCATGGAATTTATGTGATGTTCACTGTTTCTTCCTTAGGGCCTCCAAGGATGTCCCCAAAGGCCCAGCGACATCCTCGAAATCACAGAGTTTCTGCTGGGAGGGGTTCCATATCCAGTGGCCTAGAATTTGTATCCCACAACCCACCCAGTGAAGCAGCTACTCCTCCAGTAGCAAGGACCAGTCCCTCGGGGGGAACGTGGTCATCAGTGGTCAGTGGGGGTAGGTAACACTTGGGCATAATGATGGTACTCATTTTGTCATTACACTAGATATAAAGAGGGCTGAGCTACAACTCTGTTTGAGGAAGTGTAAGTATGTATATGTTAAAAATAGTAGAATCACCAGGAATTGGGAAACCCATATTTTTATTCTGGGCTCTACCACTTATTCATCATATATTAAAGCAAGTCAGACACTCATTCTGAAGTTGAGATTTCGCAGTGAGTAAAGTGTTAATAATTCTTGCCTAGTCTACATTATGGGATTGTGATGAGATTCCTATAAGGTTCATAAATACAGATATATTGTAAAACTATAAAGTTTTGTAAAGTACCTCTCTAATATGAGGCAAACACAGTATGTAACACTATTTGGAGGGACCGTATTTCCTTATCTTTTTAGCAGCTTTGTTTATCAGTACATTCTATAAACATTTATTTTTGGCTTACATTGTAGTGTGTTTCTATAGCATCTGTATATGGCACTAATTCCCAACTATATTTCCATAATAAGGAATATCAAATACAAATAAAGGGTCCAAGTTTTATTTGTGATTAGCATAAGGAATATGCTGACAGCAGCTATAAAAGTATAAAAATTAGGCTGGGTGTGGTGGCTCACGCCTGTAATCCCAGCACTTTGGGAGGCTGAGGTGGGCGGATCACAAGGTCAGGAGATCGAGACCATCCTGGCTAACACGGTGAAACCCCGTCCCTACTAAAAGTACAAAAAAAATTAGCCGGGCATGGTGGCGGGTGCCTGTAGTCCCAGCTACTTGGGAGGCTGAGGCAGGAGAATGGCATGAACTCGGGAAGCGGAGCTTGCAGTTAGCTGAGATCACGCCATTGCACTCCAGCATGGGCAACAGAGCAAGACTCTGTCTCAAAAAAAAAAAAAAAAAAAAAGTTTAAAAACTAGACGTTGACATGATTTTACAATAAGGCTGACTGCTTTTGCTACTTTGCCAATCAGTCCTTAGTGCTTTGTTCCCATAACTGTGGTAAGCAAGAGCTTACAAAGAATACTTAAAACAAACAAACAAACAAACAAAAAAAACACTTTTTCTCTTTTAATCAGTCCAGAGAACCTTTAAAAGAAACAAGATCGGCCAGTTGCTGTGGCTCATGCCTGTAATCCCAGCACTTTGGGAGGCTGAGGTGGGTGGATCACTTGAGGTCAGGAGTTCAAGACTGGCCTGACCAACATGATGAAACCCCATCTCTACTAAAAATACAAAATTAGCTGAGTGTGGTGGCTATTTGAGAGGCTGAGGCAGGAGAATCATTTGAACCCAGGAGGTGAAGGTTGCAGTGAGCCAAGATCACACCATTGCACTCCAGTCTGGGTGACAAGAGCGAAACTCTATCTCAAAAAAAAGAAAAAAGAAACAAGATCTTCAAGCTTAAGGAAACAAAAACAAAACTCAGCTGTGTTAAATCTGTTTTTAGTTGCTATACATTTCTGCTCAGCTTCATGTGATGCACATTCATGTAATTGTATCCTAAATTCCTTTGTACTTTTTATTTTCTTCCTTGGTCTTCAATTATCTTAAGACTACCAAGAAAACAAAAATTTTAAAAATCTTCTTCAGCCGGTCAGGCGCAGTGGCTCACGGCTGTAATCCCAGCACTTGGGGAGGCTGAGGCGGGTGGATCACGAGGTCAGGAGTTCAACACCAGCCTGGCCAACATGGTGAAACGTCGTCTCTACTAAAAATACAAAAATTAGCTGGGCATTGTGGCGCGTTCTTGTAATCCCAGCTGCTCAGGAGGCTGAGGCAGGAGAATTGCTTGAACCAGGACCCGGGAGGTGTAGGTTGCGGTGAGCGGAGATCGCGCCACTGCACTCCAGCCTGGGCTATAGAGTGAGACTCCATTTCAAAAAAAAAAAAAAAAATCTGCTTCAGCTATTCTGTTAATCTTTTGACATTACTTAGATGGTCTGGAAATAAATTTTGAGAATAACATGATTAGAAGTGAGAGAGTATAAGCATAGTTTTGGAGATACACTCAGAATAGCATTATAGATTTTCTCTTTTTACTAATTGGAAAAATGGCAGTTGTTGAATAATAGTTTTCTTCCGTGACCCTTGTGACTTAAAAAAAAAAAAACACTGAAATGAAATAATCGAACCATTTTCTCTAAACCTTTGAATCTGAGCTCTGCAGTTAGGTTTATAATGGTATATGAAACCTATTAGATATATACTTGGAAGTCATATGGGATACAAACCCTGCTTTTATTATCTTCCCCTTTTGACTAACTTGGGTCTCAAGTTTCCTTAATTACTGCACAGTGGACCTTGATGTTGCTATAAAGAATGTGTAGGGCTGGGCATGGTGGCTCATGCCTGTAATCCCAGCACTTTGGGAGGCCAAGGTAGGCAGATCACCTGAGGTCAGGAGTTTGAGACCAGCCTGGCCAGCATGGTGAAACCCCGTCTCTACTAAAAATACAAAAAAATTAGCTGGTTGTGGTGGCGAGTGCCTTTAATCCCAGCTACTCCAGAGGCTGAGGCAGGAGAATCACTTGATACATTTAGTTAGGAGAGAAAATCATACTTATGTTAGTAATTGCTGCTGTTCTTCATATACTTGTGGTTTTGATTGCCAGCAAATTCCTAACATTTTGGAAAAGAAAACAGTAATGGGATAAAGGGTAAGGGCTAGAGAGGACAGTTTTATTTACCTAGATCTTCAGAGAAGCCTGAAGCCTCTTTTAGGAAGTAACATTTGAACTGAGAATGTAATAAATACATTTTCCCTTTCTTCTAGTTCCAAGATTATCCCCTAAAACTCATAGACCCAGGTCTCCCAGACAGAACAGTATTGGAAATACCCCCAGTGGGCCAGTTCTTGCTTCTCCCCAAGCTGGTATTATTCCAACTGAAGCTGTTGCCATGCCTATTCCAGCTGCATCTCCTACGCCTGCTAGTCCTGCATCGAACAGAGCTGTTACCCCTTCTAGTGAGGGTATGTAACAAAGGGCTTCTGGATCCATAATCTCAGCTGTGAAATTGAATGTTAGAGGGTGATATTATATGAAAAAATTCTAGGTTATTTTTATTCATAGACAAGTATTTTTAGTGCACATTTAAAAGTTTATGTAAATTTTGATGTTGTTTAATACTACTAATTTAATATAGTGTCTGTGTTACAAAGGTTAACATTCCTGGGTGTCAAATACCTACATAAATAAAATTATTGGTGTTTCATATGACATCTGCAAAGGAAAAAAAGCCTCTGTTTAAATGAAAGCATTATTTTCCAAAAACATAGGAAATCAAAATTATTGTTCAGTGTTTTCTTGTTTTGCTTTTCTAACTTATCTGAATTTTTTTTAAAAAATTGTTTTCTAGCTAAAGATTCCAGGCTTCAAGATCAGAGGCAGAACTCTCCTGCAGGGAATAAAGAAAATATTAAACCCAATGAAACATCACCTAGCTTCTCAAAAGCTGAAAACAAAGGTTAGAGTTTAAAGAGTCATTAAGCTTAACTGTAGGAATAGGAAGAAGTATGTCTAATTTCATGCCCATACAGAATATTTTTGTTCAACATTTCTTCTTACTATTGTGATAGATAAATGTATTGCTTGACAAATTCCAAAATCCAAATTTAATATTTGAAATTATTTTCTGATCTTATATCTTATTCTAATTTCTATCATCTCATACTAAAAAGAATGTGATGTTAAAGTTTAAAAATAAACCTGTGTCTTAACAGTTCTTAATTTTACAGGTATATCACCAGTTGTTTCTGAACATAGAAAACAGATTGATGATTTAAAGAAATTTAAGAATGATTTTAGGGTAAGTATTGTACTAACTGATGAATTTGAGTTTTAGAAAATAAGCATTACTAAAGATTTATCTATTTATAAAAATGCGTTATGTATACAGTCAGAAACATCAAACCATATATGTAGAAAGCAGAACATTTTTAAAGTGGTCTTTGCCTATCCTTTAAGTGGGATAACTAAAATCATGAGATTTGGTAACAACAATATGTAGGTATCAAATGAGAGTATAGCCCTGACATTTGAAACCACCATAGCACAGCTTACTATTTGATGGTCATTTGTACTTTGTTCAGTGAAGCTAGATATTAGTAGAGCAAGGCCAAGTCATTAATAATCTAGTGTGGCAAATGGAAGATGTACTGGACTCTGGTGTTCTGAGGTAGTTGGAGATTTATACTTTGTACACAAATATATTGTGGTCAAAATCTTTCTGTAACATTATTTCTCTGTCTTAGCACAGGCTTTACTTAACATCTCTCCTTGATTGTCATTTCATTCTTTTGCATGTTATTTACTATAGGTATCGAGGTAGATTTTGAGACCAACCAATAAATCTTCTTGAAACTTAGCTTCTTAGAAAGGAAAATCTAAATACCAGCCTTTTAAAAAAAGTAGCTGAATTAAAGGATGAGTGAACCAAAGGCAAAGGTAGCCTTTCCTCAGCCTGTGTTTTAGCTTTCTAAATGTTAACAATAGCTTCATTCTTGACTTATTGGTAACATTCAAAATACTACTTATTATTTCATACTTTAGCACATGTATCTATTCAGCTTTAATGCTATTAACAGTTGTTAACCTAAGTTTTCATTTGTTGGCGGGCACGGTGGCTCACACCTGTAATCCTAGCACTTTGGGAGGCCGAGGTGGGCAGATCACCTAAGGTCAGGAGTTCGAGACCAGCCTGGTCAACATGGTGAAACCCTGTCTTGACCAAAAATAGAAAAATTAGCTAGGCATGGTGGCGCACACTTGTAATCCCAGCTACTTGGCAGGCTGAGGCAGGATAATCGCTTGAACCCAGGAGACAGAGGTTGCAGTGAGCCGAGATCACACCACTCCACTCCATCCTGGGCGACAGAGCAAGACTGCATCTCAAAAAAAAAAAAAAAAAAAAAAAGTTTTTCAATTTGTTAAACAATAGTTAACACATACAAATGATACAAAGAATATTGAATATGATCATGTGCCCACTACCCAGCTTAGTAAATAAAGCATTCTAACACAGTTAAACTCCTCTTATGTATCTGCCCCTCCTCAGCTGCTTCCCCCTGTTTCCTTCCAAAAGGAAGGGTTTCTTTTCTGTGCAGTTCTTTATATTTATACTGCATATGAATATATCTGTGAGCAATAGATGATATTTTGCATAATCTTAAATTTGCTATAAAGTCTTTTTTTTTTTTTTAATTGATCATTCTTGGGTGTTTCTCGCAGAGGGGGATTTGGCAGGGTCATAGGACAATAGTGGAGGGAAGGTCAGCAGATAAAAAGTGAACAAAGGTCTCTGGTTTTCCTAGGCAGAGGACCCTGCGGCCTTCCGCAGTGTTTGTGTCCCTGGGTACTTGAGATTAGGGAGTGGTGATGACTCTTAACGAGCATGCTGCCTTCAAGCATCTGTTTAACAAAGCACATCTTGCACCGCCCTTAATCCATTTAACCCTGAGTGACACAGCACATGTTTCAGAGAGCACAGGGTTGGGGGTAAGGTCATAGATCAACAGGATCCCAAGGCAGAAGAATCTTTCTTAGTACAGAACAAAATGAAAAGTCTACCATGTCTACTTCTTTCTCCACAGACGCAGCAACCATCCGATTTCTCAATCTTTTCCCCACCTTTCCCCCTTTTCTATTCCACAAAGCCGCCATTGTCATCATGGCCCGTTCTCAATAAGCTGTTGGGTACACCTCCCAGACGGGGTGGTGGCCGGGCAGAGGGGCTCCTCACTTCCCAGAAGGGGCGGCCGGGCAGAGGTGCCCCCCACCTCCCGGACGGGGCGGCTGGCTGGGCGGGGGCTGACCCCCCACCTCCCTCCCGGATGGGGCGGCTGGCCGGGCGGGGGCTGACCCCCACCTCCCTCCCGGACGGGTTGGCTGCCGGGTGGAGATGCTCCTCACTTCCCAGACGGGGTGGCTGCCAGGCGGAGGGGCTTCTCACTTCTCAGACGGGGCGGCTGCCGGGCAGAGGGGCTCCTCACTTCTCAGACGGGGCGGCCAGGCAGAGACGCTCCTCACCTCCCAGACGGGGTCGCGGCCGGGCAGAGGCGCTCCTCACATCCCAGACGGGGCAGCGGGGCAGAGGCGCTCCCCACATCTCAGACGACGGGTGGCCGGGCAGAGACGCTCCTCACTTCCTAGACGGGATGGCGGCCGGGAAGAGGTGCTCCTCACTTCCCAGACTGGGCAGCCGGGCAGAGGGGCTCCTCACATCCCAGACGATGGGTGGCCAGGCAGAGACGCTCCTCACTTCCCAGACGGGGTGGCGGCCGGGCAGAGGCTGCAATCTCGGCACTTTGGGAGGCCAAGGCAGGTGGCTGGGAGGTGGAGGTTGTAGCGAGCCGAGATCACGCCACTGCACTCCAGCCTGGGCACCATTGAGCACTGAGTGAACGAGACTCCGTCTGCAATCCCGGCACCTCGGGAGGCCGAGGCTGGCAGATCACTCGCGGTTAGGAGCTGGAGACCAGCCCGGCCAACACAGCGAAACCCCGTCTCCACCAAAAAAATACGAAAACCAGTCAGGCGTGGCGGCGCGGGCCTGCAATCACAGGCACTAGGCAGGCTGAGGCAGGAGAATCAGGCAGGGAGGTTGCAGTGAGCCGAGATGGCAGCAGTACAGTCTAGCTTCGGCTCGGCATCAGAGGGAGACCGTGGAAAGAGAGGGAGAGGGAGACCGTGGGGAGAAGGAGAAGGAGGGGGAGGGGGAGGGGGGGAGAGGGAGAGGGACAATGATGTCTTGCTGTAGGTATTCTTCCCCATTTGAATTTTTTCCTCAGCATTATTTTTTTTAACATCATTCAGTCTCCTCTTATACTACACTTGGATTGAATTTAATATCTCATGAAGAAAAAACATTTCTACTTTGAAGCATGTGAATTAGCATGTTTTTATAACAGCTTTATTGAGATATAATTTACATATATAAATAAACCGTTTAAAGTGTATAAATCAGTGGTTTTTAATGAGATATAATTTACATATATAAATCAACCATTTAAAGTGTATAAATCAGTGGTTTTTAAAATATTCACAATGTTGTACAACCGTCTTCTCAGTTGATTTTAAAACATACTCTTCACCCCCAAAAGAAACCCCGTGCCCAGTTTAGCAGTCGTTCCACATTTGCCTCCAGCCCTTCTCTTTCCCCTACTCCCAACCCTAAGCAACCGTTAATCTACTTTCTGTCTCTATGGATGGGCTTATTTGGGGCAAATTCCATTTCATACAAATGGAATAATAAAATATGTGGCTTTTATGACTGGCTTCTTTCACTCAGAGTAGTGTTATAAAAGTTCATCCATGTTGGAGCATGTTTCAGTACTTCATTTCTTTTTGTGACTGACTAATATTCCTTGATGTGGATAATACCACATTTTGTTTATCCATTAATCAGTTTGTAGCTATTTGTGGTGTTCTCACTGTTTGACTATTCTGAATAACACTGCCACAAACATGAGTGTGCAGTTTTTTTCTCGTCCTATCTTTTCATTTCTTTTGTGTACCTACCTAGGAGTTGAATTGCTGGGTCATATGGCAACTGTGTTTAACCTTTTGAGGAACTACCAAGCTATTTGCCAAGATATCTACACTATTTTACATTCCCACCAGCAGGGTATGAGGGTTTCTGTTTCTCCACATCCTTGCTAACACTTATTGTCTTGTCTTTTTTGATTATAGTCATCCTTGTGGGTGTGAAGTGTTAACCTCATTGTGGCTTTAATGTGCAGTTCTTTCATGGCTAATGATGTTGAACATCTTTTGTGTTTATTGGCCATTTATATATCTTCTTTGGATTGATGTCTGTTCAAATCTTTACCCATTTTAAAAATTGAGTTGTCTTTTTATTATTGGGTTGTGGGAGTTCTTTATATATTGTGTGTACAAGTCCCTGTTAGATACATGGTTTGCAAATGTTTTCTCCTGTTCTGTTGGTTGTCTTTTTACTTTTTCATCCCTTGAAGCACAAAAATTTTTAATTTTGATGAAGTCCAATTTATCTGATTTTGAAGTAAGCTTTTGGTGTCGTATCTAAGAAAATACTGTTTCATCAATCATTAAGGTTTATTACTCTTCTGGGTTTTTTTAAGAATTACATTTAGAGGTGTGATCCATTTGGAGCAACTTTTTTTTTCTTTTGACACAGAATCTCGCTCTTTTGCTTAGGCTGGAGGGCAGTGGTGCAATCTTGGCTCACAGCAGCCTCAGCCTCCTGGGCTCAAATGAGTAGCTGGTACTACAGGTGTGCACCACCACACCTTGCTATTAATAACTTTTGTATTTTTTTGTAGAGACAGAATTTCGCCATGTTGCCCAGGCTGGTCTCAAACACTTGGACTCAAGTGACACGCCCACCTCAGCCTCCCAAAGTGAAAAATTGCTTTCACCTTGCACTGCGGACTCGCCCTGAATTCTTTCTTGTGCAAGATCCAAGAGCCCTCTCTGGGGGTCTGGATCGGGACCCCTTTCCTATAACAATATTATGAGAATAACATTTGATTTTTTTTAAGTGAAACAAATTGTTATTAAAAAATTAAAAAAGGTCATAGGAGAGTGACTTGGTGCTCAGCCCATTTTGAGCAGTTATTTAATATAGCATAAGGTGGGGTTCAAATTCATTCTTTATATTAATTTTTTATTTCTAATTGACACATAACCATACACTTATAACCATTTTTACTGTGTAAGTTCAGATTCATTCTTCCGTATGTAGGTATTAGTTGTCCCAGCACCATCTGTTAAAAAGACTATTCTTGGCCAGGCACAGTGGCTCTCAACGCCTGTAATCCCAGCACTTTGGGAGTCCCAAGCAGGCAGATCACATGAGGTCAGGAGTTCGAAACCAGTCTGACCAAATGGTGAAACCGCATGTCTACTAAAAATACAAAAATTACCTGGGTGTGGTGGCGCACACCTGTAGTCTAGTCCCACTACTGTAGTGGCTGAGGCAGGAGATTCGCTTGAACCCAGGAGGTAGAGGTTGCAGTGAGCTGAGATCATGCACTCCAGTGTGGGCGACAGAGTGAGACTCCATCTCAAAAAAAAGACTATTCTTTCCTCCATTGAATTATCTTCACATGCTTGTTGGAAGTCTGTTGACTACAAATGTGAAAGTTTATTACTGGACTCTGAATTGTCCTCCACTGAATCTCTATGTCTTATCCTTATGGCAGTACCATACTGTCTTGATTAGAGTTACTGTATTTTAAAAGGCTGTACTTTTTCAGTTAGCAGAAAACATTTTAGCTATCAGCACAACTTTCTGTAAACCTTCATTAATGCTTGACTTAAATTCCAAGAAGGAGCAACATAAAAAGTCTTATCTCTTTAGGAGTTTTAGTCTTACTACTTTTAGGTGCCTGAATAACCAAATGTATTATTTAGCCTCTTACTAATAACTCCTTGATCCATAGGGGCATACCAGGAAGAAAAGAAGTGGTTTTTAAAAAATGAGAGTGGGCCGGGCACGGTGGCTGATACCTATAATCCTAACACTTTGGGAGGCTGAGGCGGGTGGATCACTTGAGGTCAGGAGTTTGAGACCAGCCTGGATAACATGGCGAAACCCTATCTTTATTAAAAATATATAAATTAGCCGGGCATGGTGGCACATGCCTGTAATCCCAGCTACTCAGGAGGCTGAGGCAGGAGAATCACTTGAATCCAGGAGGTGGAGGTTGCAGTGATCCGAGATTGCATCAGTGGGCGACAGAGCGAGAATCTGTCTCAAAGAAAAAAAAAGAGAGTGGAAAAAAAAAATATGTGTCCCAGAACTTAAATTTTAATTAAAAAAAAATAAAAGAGTGAACTTTCTAATTGTTCTCTTCAGATAATATAATGTTATTCTCTTATGTTTTATTGCGTATTTCCTGTGTACCAGATGCTGTTCTTCATGCTTGTATGTTAAATCTTGTCTAACATCTCTGTCAAGCAAGTTCTGTTTGTATCTGCACTGTGTATATTAGGCAGCTTGGGCAAAGAGAAGTTAAGTAATCTGCCCAAACTCACATGGCTAGTAAGTAAGAGGGCTGACCATCTGGTGTTTAAGCTTCTAGCAGTGCTTTGAATAGTAACTAATGCATAGTGCATGCTGCACTGTCAGTCAGTGATTCATTAGAGCTAACTTCATGACATGCTCATAGCCCCAAACTGCATTTGTTCACAAATATCTGTAGTCCTTCATTTAGGCAGAAATAGAAATACCTTGTGTGTTTGTTGTTCCTTCCCTTTTGAGCCATATGCAGAGTGCTGATAGCTTTATTTGTGTAAGAATTGCTAGTAATTTGATCTGTTTTGGGTTAATAATGTGGGTTTTAGAGGTAAATGGACCTAGGTTTGAATGTTGGCCTCTATACATCATGTGCGTAACATTGTGGCATGCTATCTACTTCCCCCAAGCCAAAATGGGTTAATTTTAGAACCTGCTTCATAGTGTTCCTGTGAGAGCTCGATGAGATATTGCCTATAAAGTGTTTAGCATAGTGCCTAGCACATGGTATGTATTCAATACATGTTCATTCTTACTAGCAAAATATAGATGACCCAGTATTGTACAGAGTATGTACAATGGTGTCATTGTACCATTTCATGTGGAGTCACATAAGAATTTCAGTTTTCTGCTGGGCATGATGGCTCACTCCTGTAATCCCAGCACTTTGGGAGGCTGAGGTGGATGGATCAGCTGAGGTCAGGAGTTCCAGACCAGCCTGGCCGACATGATGAAACCCCATCTCTACTAAAAATACAAAAAATTAGCCAGGCGTGGTGGCAGGTGCCTGTAATCCCAGCTACTCGCAAGACTGAGGCAGGAGAAATGCTTGAACCCGGGAGGCGGTGGTTGCCATGAGTTAAGATCGTGCCGCTGCACTCCAGCCTGGGCAATAAGAGCGAAACTCCGTCTCCAAAAAAAAGAAAAAAAAAGAACTTAAGTTTTCCATTAGATTTAGTATAGTGCAGAGAGGAAATACAGCAGAGTGCTATATTCCATATATAGCAATATAGCATTAGAACAATATATTCCAATACAGCAGAGTGCTATATTCAGATACCAACTAGTGGACTTGCTATTTGTAAGATGGCAATAATAGTATCTACATCAAATAGGGCTGTTGTGAAGACTAAATGAATAAGTCTATAAATAGTTTAGAACAGTGTCTGGACAGGTACAGTGGCTCATGCCTGAATCTTAGCACTTTGGGAGGCTGAGACAGGTGGATAGCTTGAGCTCAGGCATTAAAGACCAACCTGGGTAACATGGTAAAACCCTGTTTCTACAAAAAAATACACACATTAGCCAGGTGTGGTGGCACATGCTAATAGTACCAGCTACTCAGGAGGCTGAGGTGGGAGAATCACTTGAGCCTGGGAGATGGAGGTTGCAGTGAGGTGAGCTTGCACCACTGCGCTCCAGTCTGGGCAACGGAGTCAGACCCTGTTTGGAAAAAAAAAAAAAAGTGTCCAACCCATAGTAAGAAATGCAGATGTGTTTGACATTGTAAGAAAAAGCAACACCAAAAGTCTGATTTTTGCCTTCACTCAAGAACTCTTATGATAATTAAACTCCGAAGTCCTTGGCAATATATATAGTTGGTCTGTTATGTGGATCGCCTCTACTAAAGATTTTTGTGAACAAATGAAAGTTTAAGTAGTAAGTTCCTACATCGTGACTTAAATTGCCAGTGTGCCCACATAAATACCCTGTCAACATTTGCCCTTAGCCACTTGACTCTTTAGCTATATTGGTAATGCAGTAAAGCTTGCGATGCGCCAGAGTTGCATAATGCTGTTTGCCATGACACCAAGAGCCTTGGTAATGAAACCATTGAAATTGGTTTGCCTATACTGAGGCTGAAGAGGTATCTTGGCTCTCTAATTTTAAGGCAACCTTTTTGGCTGTGTAGGTTTCTCTTTAGCTTGTTTCTCACCACCTGGGGCTGTGGCTTAGGTCCGTTGTCCTAACCTGTGGCTTAGGTTCTGTTTTTGTTGCTTGTACTTGCTCCCCCTTTTTTCAGCCATTCCTGTTTTCTTTCTTTTGTAGAGGATGCCATCTTAAATCATCTTCAGCCAGTGGTAGCATTTTATTTTTTCTGGTCTGCAAACTTAAAAACCTCATCACTTATTTTGCTAATATCTTTGTCTTCTGTTCTTTTTGATGGTCCTTGGTTTTGCAGTCTACTTTAAAGGTTTTTATTTTTTTATGGGTACATAGTAGACGTATTATTCATAGGGTCTGTGAGATATTTAGATAAAGGCATATAATGTGTAATAATCACATTAGGGTAAATGGGGTATCCATCACCATCATCATTCATCATTTCTTTGTGTAATGAACGTTGCAATTGTACTCCCTCAGTTATTCTAAAAAGTACAACAAATTAATGCTGACTGTAGTCACCCTGCTTTGTTGTCAAATACTAGATCTTATTCATTCTTTATTTAACTTTTTAAATTTTAAACTTATTTTATTTATTTATTTTTAGACGGAGTCTCACTCTGTCGCCAGGCTGGAGTGCGGTGGCGCAGTCTCAACTCACTGCAACCTCCGCCTCCAGGGTTCAAGTGATTCTCCTGCCTCAGCCTCCTGACTAGCTGGAACTACAGGCACGTGCCACCACGCCCAGCTAATTTTTGTATTTTTAGTAGAGACGGGGTTTCACTATGTTGGCTGGGATGGTCTTGATCTCTTGACCTTGTGATCCGGCTGCCACAGCCTCCCAAAGTGCTGGGGTTGCAGGCGTGAGCCACCGTGCCCGGCCTTTAAAATTATTTTAAATCATTTTAATATCTTTTTCATTTCTGCCTCCGGTCCTGCAGAGTTCTTATTCGTTCTTTCTAAATTTTCTTTGCACCCACTAATCACCTCATTTCCCTTCTTCTCCCCATTACCCTTCCCAACTTCTGGTAACCATTCTGCTATCTCCATGTGTTCAATTGTTTTTATTTTTAGTGCCTGCAAACGAGTAAGAATATGCAAAGTTTATCTTTCTGTCCCTGGCTTATTTTACTTAACATAATGTCCTCCAGTGCCATCTACATTGCTGCAAATGACAGGATCTCATTCTTTTTTATGGCTGAATGGTAATCTATTGTGTATATATACCACATTTTCTTTCTCCATTTGTCTGTCAGTGGACACGTAGGTTGATTCCAAATCTTGGCTGTTGTGTATATAGTGCCGTAGTAAACATGGGAGTGCAGATATTCCTTCAATAAACTGATTTCCTTTCTGAGTATATACCTAGCAGTGCAATTGCTGGATCATATGGTAGCTCTATTTTTAGTTTTTTGAGGAATTTCCATACTGTTCTCCATAGTGGTTTTACCAATTTACATGTCCACCAACAGTGTGTGAAGGTTCCCCTTTATCCACATCGTTACCAGCATTTGTTATTGCCTGTCTTTTGGATAAAAGCCATTTTAACTGGGGTGAGATGATATCTTGTTGTAGTTTTAATTTCCATTTTTCTGGTGATCAGTAGTATTGAATACCTTTCATATACCTGTTTGCCATTCATAAATAACGATGAGGTCTTGCTGTTTGGCCCAGGCTGGTCTCGAACTCCTGGGCTCAAGCAATCCTCCCACCTTGGCTTCCCAAAATGCTGAAATTATAGTTGTGAGCCACTGCACCTGGCCTTGTATGTCTTCCTTTTTTTTTTGTTTTGTTTTGTTTTTGAGACAGAGTCTCACTTTGTTGCCCAGGCTGGAGCGTAGTGGTGTGATCTTGGCTCACTGCGCCCTACACCTCCCGGATTCAAGCAATTCTCCTGCCTCCTGCCACCATGTCTGCCTAATTTTTGTATTTTTAGTAGAGACGGGATTTCTCCTTGTTGCCCAGGCTGGTCTTGAACTCCTAACCTCAGGTGATTTACCTGCCTCAGCCTCCCAAAGTGCTAGGATTACAGGCGTGAGCTGCTGCGCCCAGCCTGTATGTCGTCTTTTGAGAAATGTCTATTCAGATCTTTTGCCCATTTTTAATTGAGTTACTAAAATTTTCCCTATGGAGTTGCTTGAGTGCCTTTTATATTCTGGTTATTGATCCCTTGTCAGATGAGTAGTTTGCAAATATTTTCTCCCATTCTGTGGGCTGTCTCTTCACTTTGTTGATGGTTTCCTTTGCTGTGCAGAAGCTTTTTAACTTGATGTGATCCCATTTGTCCATCTTTGCTTTGGTTGCCTGTACTTTTGGGGTATTACTCAAGAAATCTTTGCCCAGAGTAATGTCCCTGGGAGTTTAATGTTTTCTTTTAGTAGTTTCATAGTTTGAGGTCTTAGATTTAAATCTTTAGTCCATTTTGATTTGATTTTTTTTTAATATGGTGGGACACAGGGGTCTGGTTTCATTCTTCTGCATATGGATATCCAGTTTTCCCAGCACCATTTATTGAAGAGACTGTCCTTTCCCCAGTGTATGTTCATGGCTTCTTTGTGGAAAATGAGTTCACTTAGACGTATGGATTCATTTCTGAGTTCTCTGTTCTGTTTCATTGATCTATATCTTTTTTTATGCCAGTACCATGCCATTTTGGTTACAATAATTTGAAGTCAGATAATGATTCCTCCCGTTTTGTTCATTTTGCTCAGTATGGCTTTTGCTCTTTTGGGCCTTTTGTGGTTCCCTACAAATTTTAGAATTATTTTTGTCTACTTCTGTGAGGAATGTCATTGGTATTTTGATAGGGATTGCACTGAATCTGTAGATTGCTTTGAGTATTATCAACATTTTAGCAATATTAATTCTTCTAATCCATAAACATGGAATCTCTTTTCATGTTTTTTCTGTGTCATCAATTTCAGTGTTTTAAAGTTGTCATTATAGAAATCTTTTACTCATTTGGTTAAGTTTATTCCTAAGTATTTTATTATATTTGTAGCTATTGTAAATGGGATTGCGTTTAAAAAATTTTTCAGATTGTTTGCTGTTAAATATAAAAATGCTCCTGATTTTTGTGTGTTGATTTTTGTATCCTGCAATTTTACTGAATTTGTTTGTCAGTTCTAATAGGTTTTTCTTTTTTGGAGTCTAGGTTTTTCCAAATGTAAGATCATATTATCTGCAAACAAGGATAATTTGACTTCTTCCATTCCAGTGTGGATGCTTTTTATTTCTTTCTGTTGTCTGATTGCTCCAATTAGGACTTCCGAGTATTATGTTGAATAACAATGGTGAAAGTGGGCATCCTTGTCTTGTTCCAGATCTTAGAGGAAAGCCTTTCAGTTTTTCCCTTTTCAGTATGGTACTAGTTATGGGTCTGTCATATATGGCTTCTGTTTTGTTGAGGTATATTCCTTCTATACCCAGTTCTTTGGGGTTTTTTTGTTTGTTTGTTTTTGAGATGGAGTCTCACTCTGTCACCCAGGCTGGAGTGCAGTGGCGCAATGTTGGCTCACTGCAAGCTCCACCTCCTGGGTTCATGCCGTTCTCCTGCCTCAGCCTCCCGAGTAGCTGGGACTACAGGTGTCCGCTAACACGCCCGGCTAATTTTTTGTATTTTTAGTAGAGACGGGGTTTCACCGTGTTAGCCAGGATGGTCTCGAACTCCTGACCTCATGATCTGCCCGTCTCAGCCTCCCAAAGTGCTGGGATTACAGGCGTGAGCCACCACGCCCGGCCAAGGGTTTTAATCATAAGGGGATGTGGCATTTTATGTGATATAAATTATATATTTATATCATGTGATATATATTTATATCATACACAGTATAAATAATATATATATATATTTTTTAGTCTTTGTCTTTTATTCTGTTAAGATGTACCATGTTTATTGATTTGCGTATGTCGAACCATCCTTGCATCCCTGGGATGAATCCCACTTAGTCATGATGAATGATCTTTTTAATGTGTTACTGAATTCGGTTTGCTAGTATTATATTGAGGATTTTTGCATAATGTTCTTCAGAGACACTGGCTTCTAGTTTTCCCTTTTTGATGTGTCCTTTGGTTTTGTATAGGGTAATAGTGGCCTTGTAGAATGAGTTTAGAAGTATTCCCTCTTCCTGTATTGTGTTGGAATAGTTTGAGTAGGATTGGTATTAGTTCTTCTTTAAAGGTTTAGTAGAATTCAGCAGTGAAGCCATCAGGTCCATGGCTTTTCTTTGCTGG
Organism: Homo sapiens; assembly: GCF_000001405.40. NCBI lineage: Eukaryota > Metazoa > Chordata > Mammalia > Primates > Hominidae > Homo > Homo sapiens. The sequence continues at coordinate 111,497,242 of NC_000012.12, read as the reverse complement.
GAGACTATTTCTTATAGCTTTGATCTCGTTACTTGTTATTGGTCTCGTTACTTGTTATTGTATTTGGGTTTTGGATTTCTTTGTGGTTCAGTCTTGGTAGGTTGTATGTGTCTAGGAATTTATCCATTTCTTCAAGGTTTTCCAATGTATCAGCATATAGATGCTCATAGTAGTCTCTAATGATCCTTTGAATTTCGGTGGTAACAATTATAATGTCTCCTTTTTCATCTCTCATTTTATTATTTGGGTTTTCTCTTTTTTTTCTGAGTCTGGCTAAAGGTTTGTCAGTTTTGTTTATCTCTTCAAAACAATTTACTGTTTTATTGATCTTTTGTATTTTCTTCATTTCAATTTTATTTATTTCTGCTTTGATTTTTTTTATTTCTTCTACTGATTTTAGGTTTTGTCCTTGCTTTTCTAGTTCTTTAGGATGTATTGGCAGATGAAGTTTTTCCACTTTTTTGATGTAGGCACTTACTGCTGTAAACATTCCTCTTATTGTTGCTTTTACTGTATCCTATAGGTTTTGATAAGCTGTGTTTCCATTTTCATTTGTTTCAAGGAATTTTCCAGTTTTCTTCTTAATTTCTTCATGGACCCACTGGTCATTCAGGAGCATATTGCTTAATTTTCATGTATTTGTATACTTTCCAAAGTTCCTCTTGTTATCTAGTGTTATTTTATTTTATTTTTATTTTTGTTTTTTTGAGATGGAGTCTCGCTCTGTCACCCATGCTGGAGTGTAGTGGCGCGATCTCGGCTTACTGCAACCTCTGCCTCCCCAGTTCAAGTGATTCTTCTGCCTCAGCCTCCTGAGTAGCTGGGATTACAGGCATGTACCACCACTCCTGGCTAATTTTTTTTTGTATTTTTAGTAGAGAGGGGGTTTCACCATGTTGGTCAAGCTGATCTCGAACTCCTGACCTCAGATGATCCACCCACCTTGGCCTCCTAAAGTGCTGGAATTACAGGCATGAGCCACCGTGCCCGGCCTCTAGTGTTATCTTATTGTGATCAGAGAAGATAGTTGATATGATTTTAACTTTTTTGAATTTTTATTTATTTATTTGTTTGTTTGTTTGTTTGTTTGTAACAGAGTCTCACTCTGTTACCCAGGCTGGAGTACATGTCATGATCTTGGCTCACCTGCAACCTCCGCCTTCCTGGCTCAAGCAATCCTCCCACCTTAGCCTTCCAAGTAGCTGGGACTACAGGCACATGCCGTCACATATGGCTGATATTTTTGGATTTTTTTTTTTTTTGTAGAGATGGGGCTTTGCGATGTGTCCCAGGGTTGTTTCGAACTCCTGAGCTCAAGCAATCCACCTATTTCGGCCTCCCAAGGTGCTGGGATTACAGACATGAGCCACTGTGCCACGTCAAATCTTTAGACTTGTTTTGTGGCTTAACATAGGGTCTATCTTTGAGAGCAATCCATATGTTGAGGAGAAGAATGTGTATTCTATAGCTGTTGGACACAATGTTCTGTAAATATGTATTGGGCCTATTTGGTCTATAGAGCAAATTAGGTCTAATGTTTCTTTGTTGATTTTCTGTCTGAATGATCTGTCCATTGCTGAGAGTGGGGTGTTGAAGTTTCCGACTGTTACTGAGGTCTGTTTCTCTTTTTTGCTCTAATAATGTTTGCTTTATATATCTGGATGCTCCAGTATTGGTTGCATATGTATTTATACTTGTTATAACCTCTTGCCGAATTGATCCCTTTATCATTATACAATAATCTTCTTTGTCTGTTTTTATAGACTTTGTCTCAAAATCTATTTTATCTAAGCATAGCTACTCCTGTTCTTTTCTGGTTTCCATTTGCATGGAATATTGTTTTCCAGCTCTTCAATTTTAGTCTATGTGTGATTTTATAGGTAAAGTGTGTTTCTTGTAGGCAATGGATCTTTGGTTTTTTTTTTTTTTTTTTTGAGACAGAGTTTTGCTATTGTTGCCCAGGCTGGAGGGCAATGGCGCTATCTCAGCTCACTGCAACCTCCGCCTCCTGAGTTCAAGCGATTCTCCTGCCTCAGCCTCCCAAGTAGCTGGGATTACAGGCGCCTGCCACCAAGCCCAGCTAAATTTTTTGTATTTTCAGTAGAGATGGGGTTTCAGTATGTTCGTCAGGCTGTTCTTGAACTCCTAACCTCAGGTGATTTGCCTGCCTTGGCCTCCCAAAGTCCTGGGATTACAGGCGTGAGCCACCGCACCCAGCCTTTTTTTTAAATCCATTTAGCCACTCTGTATCTTTTGATTGGAGAGTTTAGTCGATTTACATTCAGTGTTGTTACTGATTAGTGAGGACTTAACTACTACCATTTTGTTACTTATTATCTGGTTGTTTTGTAGTCCTACTCCCTCCCTTCCCCCTTCTTTTTTACTTCCTCTTCGCTCCTTTTTTCCCTCCCTCCCTTCCTTGTTTTGAAAGTGATTTTCTCTGGTGGTATGTTTTAATTTCCTGCTTTATATTTTTTGTGTATCTGTTGTAGGTGTTTTTGATTTAAGATCACCATGACAGCTGGGTGCAGTGGTTCACACCTGTAATCCCAGCACTTTGGGAGGCCGAGGTGGGTGGATCAAGAGGTCAGGAGATTGAGACCAGCCTGGCTAACATGGTGAAACCCCATCTCTACTAAAAATACAAAACTTAGCCAGGCGTGGAGGCACGTGCCTGTAATCTCAGATACTCAGGAGGCTGAGGCAGGAGAATTGCTTGAACCCAGGAGGCAGAGGTTGCAGTGAGTCAATATTGTGCCACTGCACCCCAGCCTGGGCGACAGAGTGAGACTCCGTCTCAAAAAAAAAAAAAAAAAAGAGATCACATAAGGGTTGCAAATAACATTTTATAACCCATTATTTTAAACCAATGACAACTTGAAACTTTGATTGCAAAAACAAGCAAGCAAAGAGAAAACTAATAAAAACTCTACACTTCATCTGCCCGCTTTTTAACTTTTGTTGTTTTTATTTATATCTTTATTATACTATGTCTTAAAAAACTGTAGTTATAAGCCAGGCGCAGTGGTTCACGTGTGTAATCCCAGCACTTTGGGAGGCTGAGGTGGGCGGATCACCTAAGGTCAGGAGTTCGAGACCAGCCTAGCCAATATGGCAAAACCCCCTCTCTACTAAAAATAGAAAAATTAGCCGGACATGGTGGCGGGTGCCTGTAATCCCAGCTACTCGGAGGCTGAGGCAGGAGAATCACTTGAACCCAGGAGGCCCAGGTTGCAGTGAGCCGAGAGTGCGCCACTGCACTCCAGTCTGGGCAACAGAGTAAGACTGTCTCAAAAAACAATACAAAACAAAACAAAACCCTGGCCTAGTGGCTCACGCCTAATCCCAGCACTTTGGAAGGCAAAGGTGGGGCGAATCACAAGGTTAGGAGTTCGAGACCAGCCTGACCAACGTGGTGAAACTCTGTCTCTACTAAAAATACAAAAATTAGCCAGGCGTGGTGGCACGCACCTGTAATCCTAGCTACTCAGGAGGCTGAGGCAGGAGAATCGCTTGAACCTGGGAGGCGGAGGTTGCAGTTAGCCGAGATCGCGCCACTGCCGTCCAGCCTGGGCAGCAGAGCAAGACTCTGTCTCACAAAAAAAAAAAAAATTGTAGTTCTTATTTTTGAAAGGTTCATTTTTTATTCTTCCTGCTCAAAATATGAGTAGTAGTTTATACACCACAATTACAGTGTTACAATATTCTGTATTTTTCTGTGTACTTGTTACCAGTGAGTTTTTGCACCTTCAGGTGATTTATTATTGTTTGTTAACATCCTTTTCTTGCAGATTGAAGAACTTTTTTTTTTTTTTTTTTTTTTTGAGACAGAGTCATGCTCTGTTACCAGCCTGGAGTGCAGTGGTGCCATCTTGGCTCACTACAACCTCCAACTCCCAGGTTCAAGCGATTCTTCTGCCTCAGCCTCCCAAGTAGCTGGGATTACAAGCATGTGCCACCACGCCCAGCTACTTTTTGTATTTTTAGTAAAGACGGGGTTTTGCCATATTTGCCAGGCTGGTCTTGAGCTCCTGACCTCAGGGTGATCCGCCCGCCTTGGCATCCTAAAGTGCTAGGATTATAAGCGTGAGTCATCGTGCCCAACTTGGTTGTTTATTTTCAAATAGCCTGAATTCAAGCTCACTAATGTTTTCTGCTGCTTGATACATTTCTGCTATTGAGAGACTGATGCATTTTTCAGTTTGTCAATTGAATTTTTCCACTTTGGGATTTCTGCTTGATTCTTTTTACTAATAATTATTGCAGTCTCTTTTTTAAATTTATAGGATTCTGAATTTGTTCTCTGTATTATCTTGGATTTCGTTGAACTTTCTCAAAGCATTCAGCTTGAATTCTGTCTGAAAGTTCACATATCTCTTATCACTTGGGAATTGGTCACTGGTGTCCTTTATTTTTAGTTCATTTGGTGAGGTCATGTTTTCTCAGATGGCCTTGATGCTTGTGGATGTTCATCAGTGTCTGGGCATTGAAGAGTTGGGTATTCTGTTCTTTGTAGTCTGGTTTTGTTTGTACGCATTCTTTTTTTTTTTTTTCTGTTTTTGAGACAGAGTCTCGCTCTGTCGCCCAGGCTGGAGTGCAGTGGCACAGTCTTTGCTCACCGCAACCTCCGTCTCCCGGATTCAAGCAATTCTCCTGCCTCAGCCTCCTGAGTAGCTGGGATTACAGGTGCGTGCCACCACGCCTGGCTAATTTTTGTATTTTTAGTAAATATGGTGTTTCACCATGTTGGTCAGGCTGGTCTCGAACTCCTAACCTCGTGATCTGTCCGCCTTGGCCTCTCAGAGTGTTGGGATTACAGGCGTTAGCCACTGCATCCGGCTCCCATTCTTCTTGAGAAGGTTTTTCAAGTATTCAAAGGGAATTAAGTGTTGTCATCTAAGTCTTCGCTCACTGCAGCCATACATGCATTAGAGGGCACCCCAAGACTAGTAATGTTGTGACTCTGTAGAGGTATCACCTTGGTAGTCTTGGGGAAGATCTGGGAGAATTCCCTGTATTACCAGGCAGTCTCTTGTCCTCTTACATTTCTCCAAACAAATGGAGTCTCTCTTTGTGCTGAGCTGCTTGGAGTTTGGGGAAGGGTGACACAAGCACTGCCATGGCCACCGTCACTGGAACTGTACTTGGTCTCACCCAAGGCCTGTGGCAGCTATTTTCTGGCCACCACTGATGTTAATTTAAGGCCCAAGGGTGCTTTAGTCAGTAGGTGAAGAATCCTGCAAGAACTGGGTCTTTACTTTCAGTGCAGCAGGTTCCCTTCTGGCCCAGGGTGTGTCTAGAAATGCTGCCCAGGAGCCAGGGCCTGGGATCGGGAGCTTTAGGAATCTGCTTTATTGTACTGGGGCTGAGCTGGCACCCACTTGCAAGATAAAGTCCTTTTTACTCTTCTCTCACCTCAAGCAGGTGGGTCTCCCCATGGACACCACAGCTGTGAATGTGCGGGGTCATATCTGAAGCTGGCACAATACGACATGGCACCTTGTTTTTTATTCAAGGCACAAGGGCTCTTTAGTCAGCTGGTGGTGAATCCTACTAGGACTAGGTATTTCCCTTCAAGGCAATGGGTTCCCTTCTGGTCCAGAATATGTCTAGAAATGTCATCTGGGAGCTATGGCCTAGAATTGAGGCTTCAGAACTATGCTTGGTGCTTTATTTTACTGTGGCTGAACTAGTATCCACATTGCAAGACAAAGTCCTCCCTACTCTTCCCTCTCCTCCCAGAGCTGTGAGCTGTGGTACCTGGAGTTGGGGGAAGGCTGGCACAAGCACTCCCTTGGCCACCCTAGCTGGTGTCTCAGTGGGTCACATGTACCCCAAGTCCACTGACTATGAGCCCAGCACAGTACCATGACTTGTCCAGGAATTGCAGTCCTTCTGGTCTAGACTGCCTTTCAAGTTTATTTAGGACCCCAGAGGACTTTACCCACGGTGGTGGGGCTTACCAAAATTAAGATTCTTTTGGTTTTTTTTGGCAGAGTTTCGCTCTTATTGCCCAGGCTGGAGTATAGTGACGCAATCTCAGCTCACCACAACCTCCGCCTCCCGGGTTCAAATAATTCTCCTACCTCAGCCTCCTGAGTAGCTGGGATTACCGGCATGCGCTACCACCTCTGGCTAATTTTTTTGTTTTTTAGTAGAGATGAGGTTTCTCCATGTTGGTCAGGCTGGTCTTGAACTCCCGACCTCAGGTTATCCGTCCGCCTCGGCCTCCCAAAGTGCTGGGATTACAGACCATAGTGCCCAGCCCGAAATTCAGATTCTAATCACTGGGATGGACAATTCCCCTCTGACTAGGGCTAGTCTAAATACTCCCTCTGTGGGTGCTGGCTGAATTCTGTCCTATGCTGCTTTCCACTGTGACAGGGCAGCACTGAGTTTCAATGCAAAATCCCACAGTCATTTCTCTCTCTCTCCCCCGAGCACACAGATTCTTTCTCCACCCCACACTGCATTGTGGGGGAATGTCAGGGGTGTTGGAGGGGCAGTTCAAGACTATCTTCCTTATCTTTTTTGGTGTCTTTTTCCTTGATAGGATGTCAAAACTGGGTACTGTGATCGCTTACCTAATTTTTGGTTCTTATGAAGGTGCTTTCTTGTGTGGATAGTTGTTCAATTTGGTGCTCCTTGTTGGGGATGATCACTGGAAGGTTCTGTTTGGCCACCATGCTCTGTCTCTTCTCCCCTGCCATCTCCTTTTTTTACTTAGGGGTTTAGAATGTCTAACTGACCAATATGTACAGTCAGGTCTCATTCTGAATTCACCTACTTAATGACCTTCCAAGCTGACTAGGCCCAGCGCTTAGTCCAGCCTCCATGACGGTCCCTCCACATCCTAATTAGCCTCCCTCCAGTTCATTTCACACAAAGCTGCTGTGTTCACCTTTCTGAACTATAAATCTGCCCAGTACTCTACCCTACTTAAAATTCCGTATAGACTGCCCATTTGCCCTGAGAATTAAAAGCCAAAGTCCTAAACGTAGCTTTTTAAAACTTTTTTTTTTTTTTTTTTAATTTTTAGATGGAGTCTTGCTCTGTCACCCAGGCTGGAGTGCAGTGGTGTGATCTTGGCTCACTGCAACCTCCGCCTCCTGGGTTCAAGCAATTCTCATATGTCAGCCTCCCAAGTAGCTGGGATTTACACGTGTGCCATCACGCCTGGCTAATTTTTTTTTTTTATCTTTAGTAGAGACGGAGTTTCACCATGTTGGCCAGTCTGGTCTTAAACTCCTGACCTCAAGTGATCCACCTGCCTTGGCTTCCCAAAGTGCTAGGATGATAGGTGTTAGCCACTGCACGCAGCCCTGAACATAGCTTTTAAGTTCCTTTATTGTCATATTCCTTTTGACGAGTCTATCATTTTCTGACTCACTTGTACATGTGTGTCTCACCCTTGGTCCAGCCATTGGTGCTTTTCTTTACTTCTTTATTTTTGTTATTTTATTTTATTTTATTATTATTTTTTAAATGAGACAGGGTATCACTATGTTGCCCAGGCTGGTCTTGAACTCCTGAGCTTAAGCAGTCTGCTTGTCTCAGCCTCCCAAAGGGCTGGAATTACAGTGATGAGCTACTGTGCCCAGCTCATTGGTGCTATCTTTTTTTTTTTTTTTGAGACGGAGTCTCGCTCTGTCACCCAGGCTGGAGTGCAGTGGCGTGATCTTGGCTCACTGCAGCTCCACTTCCCAGGTTCACACCATTCTCCTACCTCAGCCTCCCGAGTAGCAGGGACTATAGGCGCCTGCCACCATGCCTGGCTAATTTTTGTATTTTTAGTAGAGATGGGGTTTCAGCGTGTGAGCCAAGATGGTCTCGATCTCCTGACCTCGTGATCCGCCTGCCTTGGCCTCCCAAAGTGCTGGGATTACAGGCGTGAGCCACCGTGCCCGGCCCCCATTGGTGCTATTGTTTTATGTGATAGAGCCAGCTTCTCCCTTTTCTTTGGATTTTTAAACATACTCTTCCTTTTACTTAGACTATTCTCCATCCCAACACCTTTCCTAAACTTCTTTCACACCTTAGACTAGCTGACACTTTACTGAGAAACCTTTCTTTTTTATAGGTTGCTTTTTCTATAGACTCTCTTAGCATTTACTCATTTTATTGTGAAGTGTCTGATCTTATTTAAATGACAAGTATAAGAGGATAGAAACTATTTCATATTTTTCTCACCCAGCAGGCACAATTTCTGACATGTGGTAAGCACTCAGTAAATATTGAACTTTAGAGGCTAGGACATTTGAGTGCTTTGGTGACTGTGGTTGTGCTATATAGGTACTCTGTTATTGTTAGTTTATAGTAAAAGCATTACTCTTAAAGTATGAAAAAAGCCTTATTCAGAACATTTCATGCGTATAGTTAATATTACGTAGCTTGTGCTCATGGCAAAAATGTATTACTAAAGTTATTTAAGATATTTAAGTATAATTGTTTCCTTTATTTAGTTACAGCCAAGTTCTACTTCTGAATCTATGGATCAACTACTAAACAAAAATAGAGAGGGAGAAAAATCAAGAGATTTGATCAAAGACAAAATTGAACCAAGTGCTAAGGATTCTTTCATTGAAAATAGCAGCAGCAACTGTACCAGTGGCAGCAGCAAGCCGAATAGCCCCAGCATTTCCCCTTCAATACTTAGTAACACGGAGCACAAGAGGGGACCTGAGGTCACTTCCCAAGGGGTTCAGACTTCCAGCCCAGCATGTAAACAAGAGAAAGACGATAAGGAAGAGAAGAAAGACGCAGCTGAGTGAGTAAACCTGGAACTTAGACCATCCTGTTACTCAATTAACTTTTTTTTTTTTAAAGGCATTTAGGTCCTTCCAACTGTGAAGAATCCATCTGGACTTTTAGACTACTTTATACATTGCCCTTAGTTTACAAACAGCTAGTCCAAACAAATGACATCTTAAGTAAATGAGGTTATTGCACCCTGTGCTACTCTTCTGTTCTTCCCCTTTTTTGTACCCCAGGGCTAGAAAAACAAGGCATAAATTAAGAAAAGTTTTTCTGTAAATGAACAGGAGTTGAAAAATTATCAATTCAGGGGACCTATCTTTACTGGATTCCACTCATTAGTCACCCTCACTGTGCTGCTAGGTTGAAAAACTGCCACTGTCAAGGAGAGAAGCATGCGGTGCTTCTACTTGGAATTCAAAATATTTTTCATCAGAAACTGTGTTTTAGTTAATGTTTAGATTTGTTAAGATAGACTTAATTCTGCACATTCAGTATATTAATTAAATGGACTTTTAGGGGCTAACCTCAGAACTTAACTACCATTGACTTAGGTGTTTGGGTACCAAACAATCCAGTTAAAGCTGAAGTTTTGGAATGCAGCTTATTGATAAATTGGGGACTGCTTATTCTTGATTTGAGGCAATTTTTTTTTACAGCCATGACTTTTTCCAGGTATGTCATGTAAAATATCTTCTCACATAAGAATTACTGCATGCTAGAATATTGGTATGTTGACTGGTAGCTCATACCTATAATCCCAGCACTCTGGGAGGTCCAAGCAGGTAGATTACTTGAGGTTAGGAGTTGAAGACCAGCCTGGCCAACATGTGAAACCCTGTCTGTACTAAAAATACAAAAATTAGCCAGGCATGGTGGTAGGTGCCTGTATCCCAGCTACTCGGGAGGCTGAGGCAGGAGAATTGCTTGAACCCAGAAGGTGGAGGCTGCAGTGAGCCGAGATCATGCCACTGCACTCCAGCCTGGGTGACAGAGCGAGACTCTGTCTCAAAAATAAATAAATAAATAAATAAAAGGATACTGTTATGTTAAGAATTGCTTTTAAGGATATTTCATAAGTAGCTACTGTCTTTTCAGCTCAAGTGTTTGTTGATTGGCCAGGCGTGGTAGCTCATACCTGTAATCCCAGCACTTTGGGAGGCTGAGTCAGGCAGATCACTTAAGGTCAGCGTGGCCAAAATGGTGAAACCCCATCTTTACTAAAAATAAATATTAAAAAAAATTAGCTGGGCGTGGTGGCAGTCTCCTGTAATCCCAGCTAATCAGGAGGCTAAGGCAAGAGAATGGCTTAAACTCGGGAGGCAGAGGTTGCAGTGAGCCAAGATTGCACTGCTGCACTCCAACCTGAGCAACAGAGTGGGACTCTGTGAAGGAAAAAAAAAAAGTATTTTTTGATTGCCTTTGAGAGGAACGGTTGTATATTACTCAGATTTTTAAAAAATTGTTCTTTTATGGCTGTATTCTTTAAGGGATTAAGGAATGGGCAATATAAGTGTATATGTTTCAATAAAAACGATTAGTGATCTTCTAGTGAGAACAGTTTAAATCTATATTTAGCAATTTTTTTTAAATTGTCAGGTATGGAAGATTTTAGAGCAACGTAAAGTCCATGTAGATTTCACTGGCCTTTATATTTTTTTTAGGCAAGTTAGGAAATCAACATTGAATCCCAATGCAAAGGAGTTCAACCCACGTTCCTTCTCTCAGGTAGGTTTATTACTTTCTTTGAGGTTATCTAGTCCCAAAAAAAGAAAAATTATTAGTAATAGTCCTTCTTCCATACCTGCCATCTGAATTTTGTTTTAGTGTGCTGAACCAACCTTCTTTCTTTTTTTTACATGGCCATTAATGAATACTTTTTAAACATTAAAAAAAGGTCTTTGTTTTGTCATCAATTAGATGTGATCTTGGGCAAATCTTTGAATTTCTCTGACCCAGAATTTGACGATGGTTGGCTAGCTAGGCTGTCAGGTTTATAGATACGTCCTCTGCACCTGAGGGTTTTGCATCACTGGATTCAACCAACCATGGATCAAAAACATAGTTAGGATAATCTATACTGAACACATGCAGACGTTTCCTTGTCATTATTCCAAAACAATACAGTAAAGCATTTACCTTGTTTTAGGTATTATAAATAATCTAGAGATGATGTAAAGTATATAGGAGGATATGCATAGGTTGTATGCGAATACTACATGATTTTATGTAAGGGACTTGAGCATTCCAAGACTTTGGTATCTTCACAGGGTACTGTAACCAATCCCCCACAGATACTAAGAGATGACTGTACTATTGTTATTATTCGACTGAGATCATAAGAAGATATATTTATTTTTAATTTTTAAAAACACTTCCATCAGTTTCTTAAAAATAGCTGCCACTGTTTTTAATATTTTTTAATTGACAAAGTTTTAAGTTCCTACTGAAACATTTTTTCTTTTATTGAAATGTGAAAATTTATGTGCTGTGTTTTTGTTTTCAATAAAAGGGACATAGTTAAAGCAAGTAAAATTAGAAAGACTGGGAAAATCCGTCTTTAAATTGCAATAATAGTTCATCTGTTACCTTGAGATAATTGAATTTATTGTTGTTTTTGTAGCCAAAGCCTTCTACTACCCCAACTTCACCTCGGCCTCAAGCACAACCTAGCCCATCTATGGTGGGTCATCAACAGCCAACTCCAGTTTATACTCAGCCTGTTTGTTTTGCACCAAATATGATGTATCCAGTCCCAGTGAGCCCAGGCGTGCAAGTAAGTCATAGAATTTGATGTTCACTTAGCCTCCCCAATTGTTTGTATCTGACACCAAGCACTCTTTAGGTTTTCAGTGACTTGAGGGTGTGATGGTTATGCATATGCATTTGAAACAGACAGGCATGCAGAGATTCAGTGTGTTGTTAAGTATGAGGACCTAAATCTGAGAATGTTTTCTGTGAAAAAGATGGTTTAGATTTACTGTAGTTTGGGGTTTGTTCCTTTTAGCTGTGGGTATGATCTAATTTTTTAATGACTAATGGAGAATCAGGAAACCTTCTCATGCCTAGCTCTCTAGCAATATAAAACTAAGAGTGACAGAATACCTTGTTATTATCATAGGTGCCTAATGTTAATTTTTTTTTTAATTCTCTCAAGCCTTTATACCCAATACCTATGACGCCCATGCCAGTGAATCAAGCCAAGACATATAGAGCAGGTAAAGGTGAGAATAATCCTGCCTGTGTTTGCTTGTAGTTTGCATGCTGCATGAATTGAGTAACTAAGTTTATAATGAATAAATAGTTGTAGTTTAGCTCTGACTTTTTGATGAGGCTATGCATTGGCTTTTGATGAACAACATTACATAGATATTCACATGGATTTTATGAAGAAAAACAGGGGAGAAAAAATGCCCATCAGTTGTGATTATATAGTATCCTCTTCAAAAAGAGTAATTGGAGGCCTGGTGTGATGGCTCACACCTGTAATTTTAGCACTTTGGGAGGCCAAGGCAGGAGGATTGCTTGAGCTCAGGAGCCCAAGATCAGCCTGGACAACAGAGACTTTGTCTCTACTAAAATTCAAAAAAATTAGCTGGGCATGGTGGCATATGCCTGTAGCCCCAGCTGTTTGGGGGACTGAGGCGAGAGGATCACTTGAGCCCAGGAAGTAGAGGCTGCAGTGAGCTGTGATTATGCCACTGCCCTCCAGCCTGGGCGACAGAGTGAGACCCCGTCTCAAACATAAATACTGGCTGGGCATGGTGGCTTATGCCTGTAATCCCAGCACTTTGGGAGGCCGAGGTGGGTGTATCACCTGAGGTCAGTAGTTTGAGACCAGCCTGGCCAACATGGCGAAACCCCATCTCTACTAAAATACAAAAATTAGCCGGACATGGTGGCACCTGCCGCCTGTAATCCCAGCTACTAGGTGGGGCTGAGGCAGGAGAATTGCTTGAACCCGGGAGGCAGGGGTTGCAGTGAGCCAAGATCGTGCCACTGCACTTCAGCCTGGGCAACAGAGTGAGACTCCATCTCAAAACAAACAAACAAACAAAAAACAAACAAACAAAAAAACCAGACTAATTGGCTGGACACAGTGGCTCCATGCCTGATATCCCAGCTGGAGGATGACTTGAACCCATGAGTTCGAGAGCAGCATGGGCAATATAGTGAGACCCTATCTCAAAAAAAAAAAAAAAAGTTAATTCCAAAGCTTTTTGATCTGAAATCTGATTTAAATCTGAACTTAAATTTGAAGAAGAGGGTTTGCTAGATTAATTTACTAGATTGCTAACCTTGCTTTATATATACCTACAGTTATTTCCCCAAAGCCAGAATTTCTTTTGAAGCAGAGGGGCAACTAACTTCAACCAATGTTAAGATCCTATTAGAAGGATGTTTCGGCTAGGCTTGGTGGCTCACGTGTAATTCCAGCACTTTGAGAGGCTGAGGTGGGCAGATCACATGACCGGGAGTTTTAAGACCAGCCTGGGCAACATGGCAAAAACCTATCTCTGCAAAAAAAAAATAGAAATCTTAGCCAGCCGTCATGGTGTGCTCCTGTAGTCCTAGCTACTTGGGAGACTGAGGTGGGAGGATCAATTGAAACCAGAAGGTCCAGGCTGCAGGGAACTGTGACTGCACCACTGGGCTCCAGCTTGGGTGAAAGAGCGAAACCCTGCCTCAAAAAGAAAAATAAGATGGATGTTTCTGCATTAAAATTAGGGAGTTGTCGTATAATGTAGTTGCATAAACTAGTATTCTGTGCTTGTGTGGTTAAAGAGCCTTCGTAGAAAAAATCCCACATTTTTCTTAAAAGGAAATCTTTTGGCCAGGTGTGGTGGCTCACATCTGTAAGCCCAACACTCTGGGAAGCCGAGGTGGGCAGATCACTTGAGGTCAGGAGTACAAAACCATCCTGGCCAACATGGTGAAAACCCGTCTCTACTAAAAATACAAAGATCAGCTGGGCATGGTGGTGCGTGCCTGGGTGACAGAGCGAGACTCCGTCCAAAAAAAAAAAAAAAAAAAAAGAGTTCTTTTAATGTTGGAAAATGCTAAAGGGTTTTTTTTTTGCCAACCAGTTAATTTAGAGTGATTAACTGCTATCAGTTGAGAAACTATAGAAAGTAGAATAATTTATACAGAAAAGACATTTCTCAGTGCCCAATAATTGCCTTTCTGACATAAAGTTTTCATTTTTCCTGAATTAATAAGATTTCCTCAATGTGTTTTTTTGGGTGTTTTGTGTGTGTGTGTGTGTGTGTGTGTGTGTGTGTGTGTGTGTGTGTATGTGTTTGATACAGGGTCTTGCTTTGCTGCTGAGGCTGGAACGCAGTGGCGCTATCATGGCTCAATGCAGCCTTGACCTCCTGGGCTCAAGCGATCCTCCCTTCTCAGTCCCCTGGATAGCGGGGGCTACAGGTGCACACCACCACACCTAGCTAATTTTTGTATTTTTTGTAGAGATGGGTTTTGCCATGTTGCCTAGGCTGGTCTCAAACTCCTGGGCTCAAGCGATCTGCCTGGCTCTGCTTCCCAAAGTGCCTGCGCCCAGCCAATTTTCTCCATGTTTGACCTAATTGTGATTTCATAGATGTTAACTAAAACTCTTAATTTTCGTTTTCTCAGTATGCTATTTTTTTTTTTTTTAGCCTTGGAACATATGAACCTGTTGAAAGAACTCTGCCTGAAATAATGTAATCAAATTATAGAGTTTAATCTTATTTTGAGGGCCTTTAGAAATTCTGAGAAGAAAGTGGGTTTTTTTTTTTACTGCCATTTTAATGTAGTGTTAAGGTGTTCATGTATCACCAGCAGGTGTAGCTGTTTTCAATGATTACTTAAAACAATGCAATGGGAACTTTTTGTTGTCATTAAAATATAAAAGGTTACTGTAGTAAGAGCAAGCATGACAGTTTGGCTATCTGATGGGAGAGTCACATTCTAACTTCAGGAGGTACTGTCTTTTTAATAGAAATGATATACTCAGAGTCTGGGCACGGTGGCTCACGCCTGTAATCCAGCACTTTGGGAGGCCGAGGTGGGCAGATCACGAGGTCAGGAGATCAAGACCATCCTGGCTAATACAGTGAAACCGTGTCTCTACTAAAAATACAAACAATTAGCTGAGCGTGGTGGCAGGTGCCTATAGTCCCAGCTACTCGGGAGGCTGAGGCAGGAGAATGGCATGAACCTGGGAGGCAGAGCTGGCAGTGAGCTGAGATGGTGCCACTGCACTCCAGCCTGGGTGACAGAGCGAGACTCCGTCTCAAAAAAAAAAAAAAAAAAAAAATAGTAGAGAAAGGGCTTTGCCATGTTGGCCGGGCTGGTCTTGAACTCCTGGCCTCAAGTGATCCACCTCCCTCGGCCTCCCAAAGTGCTGGGATTACAGGTGTGAGCCACTGCTCCTGGCCTGAATATACCACTTTTACCTATCATCAGTTGATGAACATTTGGATTATTTCCTTTTTCTGGCAATGAGTAATGCTTTTGTGGATTTTCATGTACAAATTTTCATATGAGGCTGGGAGCAGTGGCTCATGCCTATAATCCCAGCAGTCTGGGAGGCTGAGGTGGGCAGATGACTTGAGGTCAGGAGTTTGAGACCAGCCTGGCCAACATGGTGAAATCCCATCTCTACTAAAAATACAAAAATTACACTGGCATGGTAGCGTGCACCTATAATCCCAGCTATTCAGGAGGCTGAGGCAGGAGCATCAGAATCGCTTGAACCTGGGAGGCGGAGGCTGCAGTGAGCTGAGATCACACCACTGCACCCCAGCCTGAGTGAAAGAGTGAGTCTCAAAAAATAAAAAATAAAATTTTTTTTCATGTGGCCTTAGATTTTCATTTCTCCTAAAGTAGAAATGCTGTGATGGAACTGCCAAACTTTTCCAAAGCAGCTGCATCATTTTGTATTTCTACCAGTAATGTACAAGTGTTCCAGTTTCTCCACATCCTCATAAATAACCGATATGTCTTTGGTTTGGGTTATGTCCATTCTAGTGGTTATG
Organism: Homo sapiens; assembly: GCF_000001405.40. Classification (NCBI taxonomy): domain Eukaryota; kingdom Metazoa; phylum Chordata; class Mammalia; order Primates; family Hominidae; genus Homo; species Homo sapiens. Next base: position 111,481,469 of record NC_000012.12, on the reverse strand, counting down.
AAGTGTCATTGTGGTTTTTTGTTTTTTTGTATTGTTTTGAGATCGTGCCCAGGCTGGAGCACAGTGGCACAATCTCGGCTCACTGCAGCCTTCGCTTCCTGGGTTCAAGCAATTCTCCTGCCTCACCCTCCCAGATAGCTGGGGCTGCAGGCATACGCCACCACACCAGGCTAATTTTTATATTTTTTGTAGAGATGGAGCTTCTCCGTGCTTCCCAGGCTGGTCTCGAATTCCTGAGCTCAAGCGATCCCCCTGCGTCAGCCTCCAGAGTAGCTGGGGTTATAGGCGTGCACCACCGCGCTCGGCCCATTTTTGTATTTTTAGTAGAGATGGAATTTCACCATGTTGGCCAGGCTGGTCTTGAACTCCTGACCTCAAATGATCCGCCTGCCTCACCTTCCCAAAGTGCTGAGATTTTAGACGCGAACCACCATGCCCTGACTATAGGTTATCTTTTTACTTGCTTGATGGTGTTCTTTGTAACACAGTTTTTAATTTTGATGAAGTTCAATTTATCTGTTTGTTTTTTCTTTTGTTGCTGTTGCTCCTGATGTCATATCAGACAAAGCATTGCCTAACTCAAGGCCACAGAGATTTACTCCTATGAAACGCCTATAAAACTCCTATGATTTTTATAGTTTAGCTCTTAACATTTAAGTCTACAATCTCTTTTGAGTTAATTTTTGTGTATGAGATGAGAGTAGTGGTCCAGGTTTTTCCTTTTGCTTGTGGATATCCGTTGTCCCCACCTCATTTGTTGAAAAGACTATTCTTTCCTCTTAAATTGTTTGTTTGTTTATTTATTTTTGAGATGGAGTGTCGCTCTGATGGAGTGGCGCTAACTTAGCTTCACTGCAACCTCCGCCTCTCAGATTCAAGCGATTCCCCTGCCTCAGCCTCCTGAGTAGCTGGAATTACAGGGGTGCGCCACCACACCCAGCTAATTTTTGTATTTTTAGTAGAGACGGGGTTTTACCGTGTTGGTCAGGCTGGTCTCGAACTCCTGATCTCGTGATCTGCCTGTCTCCTGGCACCCTGGGAGGCTGAGAGGCTGAGGTGGGAGGATCACTTGAGCTCAGGAGTTTGAGACCAGCCTGTACCATTATGCCTGGCTAATTTTAGAATTTATCTTAAAGTATAAAATGTGAATCCAATTTATCTTGTTCTAAATGACTATCCAAAATGTTTTAACCAGTTTTATTAGTCTGTAATTTACATACAAGAAAATGCTCATCTTTTTATGTTTACATTTTAATGAGTTTTGACAAATATATTTGCTCATGTAACTACTTGCTTCATCAGTGAAGATGGAAAACATTGTGCCTGTTCCTCTTCTCTGTCCAACTGTACTTTATTACCACTAGCTCCAGTTAACCAGTAATCTGCCTTCTTTTACTATAGATTAGATTTATCCTCTTTAGATTTCTTTTTCTTTTTTTTTTTTTGATTAGGTTTTTTTTTTTCTTTTTTTACGTAAAAAAATCTTTTTTTGGAGACGTCTCATTATATTGCCCAGGTTGGTCTCGAACTCTTGAGCTCACCTCAGCCTCCCAGAGTGCTAGGATTACAGATGTGAGCCACCTCAGCCAGCCCCTAGATTTTTTTTTTTTTTTTAATAAATGGAATCAAACAGCGTGTAACAGAGGTGTTCAATCTTTTGGCTTCCCTGGGTCATATTGGAAGAAGAATTGTGTTGGGCCACACATAAAATACAGTAACACTAATGATAGCTGATGAACAAAACAAAAAAAAATAGCAAAACTTATAATGTTTTAAGAAAGTTTATGAATTTGTGTTGGGCCACATTCAAAGCCGTCCCAGGACGCAAGTTGGACAAGCTTGGTATATAATTTCATATGTGTGTCCTAAACAGTGTAGTAATTTGAATTTCATGTTAGTATCAGCTTATTCCTTTTTGTTTGTTTGTTTGTTTTTGAGATGGAGTCTTGTTCTGTGTCCCAGAATTGGTCTGCAATTCCACTGCCTCAGCCTCCCAAGTAGCTGGGATTACAGGCACGTGCCACCACACCTGGCTAATTTTTGTCTCTCTCTCTTTTTTTTTTTTTTTTTTTTTTTTTTAGCAGAGACGGGATTTCACCATGTTGGCCAGGCTGGTCTCAAACTCCTGACCCCAAATGATCCACCTGCCTTGGCCTCCCAAAGTGCTGGGATTACAGGTGTGAGTCACCGTGCCCAGCCAGCTTATTCCTTTTTATTGCTGGGTAGCATTTCATTTTATGATTATACCACAGTTAATTTACCCATTACTAGTCGATGGGCATTTGAGTTATTGCCAGCTTTTGGCTATTATGAATGAAGCTGCTGTGAGCATTTGTGTACAAGTGTTTGTGTTTTTATTTCTTTTAGTTAAATACCTAGAATTGGAATTGCTGAGGTATGGTAAGTGCATATTTCATTTTTTTAAAAAATTTATTTTATTTTTTATTTATTTATTTTTTTTGAGATGAAGTCTCACTCTGTTGCCCAGGCTGGAGTTCAGTGGCGTGATTTCAGCTCATGGCAACCTCCCTGTCCCGGGTTCAAGCAATTCTCCCGCCTCAGCCTCCCAAGTAGCTGGGATTACAGGCGCGCACCACCATGCCTGGCTAATTTTTTTGTATTTTTAGTAGAGACGGGGTTTCACCACGTTGGCCAGGCTGGTCTCGAACTCCTGACCACAAGTGATCCACCCGCCCCAGCCTCCCAAAGTGTTGGGATTACAGATGTGAGCCACCACACACTGCCTGGTAAATACATATTTCAATTAATAAGAAACTAGCAATCTTCTAAAGTGATTGTGTCATTTTACATTCCAACTGATCAGGTACATGTGTAGGTTCCATGTGTTCTGCATCCTTGCCAACACTTGGTATTGTGTTATCTTTTTAATTTCAACAGGTCTAATGGGTGTCTTATGGTATCTCATTGTGATCTTAAATGTACATTTCTCTGATGATGACTGATCCAGGAGCACCTCATCATGTGTGTGTTTGTTTTCAGCTGTCAACCTTTTTTTAGTAAATGGTTCAAATCTTTTTTCCATTTTATTTATTTATTTATTTATTTGATGGAATCTCACTCTATTGCCCAGGCTGGAACGCAGTGGTGCCATCTTGGCTCACTGCAACCTCCGCCTCCCAGGTTCAAGCAATTCTTACGCCTTAGCCTCCCAAGTAGCTGGGATTACAGGCATGCGCCACCATGCCTGGCTAATTTTGTATTTTTAGTGTAGGTGGGGTTTCACCATGTTGGTCATGCTGGTCTCTAACTCCTGACCTCAGGTGATCTACCTGCCTCGGCCTCCCAAAGTGCTGAGATTACAGGTGTGAGCCACTGCGCCTGTCCTAATAATTTCTTTTTGTCTCAATGTTTCTGCCTGGGTGCACTGGCTCACGCCTGTAATTCCAGCACTTTGGGAGGCCAACCTGGATGGATCATTTGAGCCAACAGTTTGAGACCAGCCTGAGGAACATGACAAAACCCTGTCTTTGCAAAAAAAAAAAAGAAAAAAGAAAAATTAGCCAGGCACAGAAGCGCATTCCTATGGTCCCAGCTACTTGGGGGGCTGAGGTGGGACAATCGCTTGAGCGAGGTTGCGGGGGTTTGGAGGGCGATGGAGGGGTGATCGAGGTTGCAGTGAGCTGAGATTGCACTACTGCACTCCAGCCTGGGCAATAGAGCCAGACCCTGTCTCACAAAAAAAAGAAAAAAAAGTCATGTTTCTTTTCTTACTGTGAAAATAAAGTTACTACTTTTAGTAAATTATTTTAAGTTATTTATATATTCTGGTTACAAGTCCTTTCTCAGAATATTGTGAATATTTTCTCCCAGTCTGCGGTTTTTTTTGAAGAGCCAGTATTGTTAATTTTAATGAAGCCTTATTTATCAAGCTTTTCTCTTAAGGTTCATGCTTTTTTGTATCATAATAAGAAATCTTTTACGTACCCTAGGTTATGAATGTTTTTATGGTTAGGTATATGGTTGATTTCAGGTTAGGTTTTGTGTAGGGTGTGATGTAAAGGTCTAGCTTCATTTTCTCCACCATAAATATTTACTCGGTTTCTCTGGCACCAGCCTCTGTTTTCCATTGGTGGCTTTATTTTTTTTCTGTTCTTGAAACAAGAGTCTCGATCTTGTTACCCAGGCTGGAGTGCAGTAGTGTGACCTTGGCTCACTGCAACCTCCACTTCCCAGGGTCAAGCGATTCTGCCTCAGCCTCTCGAGTAGCTAGGATTACAGGTGCCCGCCACTACACCCAGCTAATTTGTATTTTTTTTTTTTTTTTTTTTAGTAGAGACAGGGTCTCACCATGTTGGCCAGGCTAGTCTCGAACTCCTGACCTCAGGTGATCTGCTCATCTCAGCCTCCCAAAGTTCTGGGATTACAGGCATGAGCCACTGCGCCCAGCCATAGTAGCTTTATTGAATTCAGTTGACTGTATTGTATGTGTGTCTATTTGTGAACTGTTTTGTTGTATTGATCTTTGTATATATCCTTATGCCAATTCTCTCTTTATTGCTGTTACTTTGTAACCAACCTTTAAGTTCATATGAGTCTCCCAGTTTTATTCTCGTCAAAATTACTCTTATTCTGCGTTCTTTGAATTTGCAAATAAATTTTAGAATCAGCTTGGGATTGTGCACTGAATCTTTATATCAGTTCTGGGAGAAATATCTTAACAATATGGAATCTTCATTGAGGTCATCATATACTGCTCCATTTATTTAAGTCTTAAGTTTCACCAGTGTTTTCTAGTTTTCTTTGTATCAGTTTTGTGCCTGCTTTCTTAAATTTATCCCTTAATATTTCATCTGTTTTGTGCTGTTGTGAGTTATATTTTAAAAACTTTCAACGTTTGTTTATTCGTAAATAGAGATGCACTTGATTTTTGAATATTGACCTTGTGTCTTGATGTGTTGGTAAACCCACTGTTTCTGGCAGCCCTTTAAGACTTAAACATACAATCATGATCTAATCACCATGTTGGTGTTTTTGGGTTTTTTTTTTTTGTCTTATTGTACTGGTGCATTACTGAAAAAGGCATGAGATTTTGCCATGCTCCCATTTTTAGGGGTGAGACATTGTCTTTCACTATTAAGCATACAGTTAGGTGTTACTTCAGTTCCTAATTTGCAGAGGTGGGTTTGTTTTCTTTTTAATCATGAATGGTTGTTGGATTATGTTCAAATACTTATCATCTACTAAGTATATCATATTGACCAGGAACAGTGGCTCATACCTGTAACCTCAGAGCTTTGGGAGGCCAAGGCAGGAGGATCGCTTGAGGCCAGGAGTTCAAGACCAACCTGGGTGATGTAGGAAAACCCCATATCTACAAAACAATTTAAAAATTTGCTGGGTGTGGTGGCACACACCTGTAGTCCTAACTACTTGAGAGGCTGAGGAAGGAGAATTGCTTGAGCCCAGTAGTTTAAAGCAGCAGTGAGCTGTGATTGTACCACTGTACTCCAGCCTGGGTGACAGAAGGAGACCCTGTATTTAAAGTGTGTGTGTATGCGTGCGCATAGATGGATAGATAATAATGTAATTCCATTATGGTCATACAAACTGATATGAAATGCCATTTTATCATATAACAAGTGTCTTTTTGTGGTTGAATTTGTTTCTGGATTTTTCACTCTGCTTCACTAATCTAATAGGACTACCTTCTCATCCACTCACTGCCAACATTGATTTTTTTTTTCAGATTACCTTGAATTTTCTGTTTATTTTTCCATATGAACTCTATAATTAACTTACTACTAAAAAAATCAGTTGCCTTTTTAAAACCAACTGATCTTTAAAATATATCTTGGCTGGGCCCGGTGGCAGGCACCTGTAATTCTAGCTACTTGGGAGACTGAGGCAGAAGAATTGCTTGAACCCAGGAGGCGGAAGTTGTAGTTGAGTTGAGATTGCGCACCTGTACTCCAGCCTGGGTGACAGAGCAAGATTCCCTCTTAAAAAAAAAAAAAAAAAAAAGAAACAGAAAAGATAAATCTTTTTACAATAATTTGTTCCAATTAGGGTCCAAGTCAGGCTTGCAATTTGGATTTGTTTATATGTTGAAGTCTTTTTTTTTTTTTAATTGTTTCATATTGTGGTAACTTTTTTTTTTTTTTTTTGAGATGGAATCTTGGCTCTGTCACCTAGGCTGGAGTACAGTGGCACAATCTCAACTCACTGCAACCTCCCCCTCTGGGGTTCAAGCAATTCTCCTGCCTCAGCCTCCCAAGTAGCCCAGCCTTTTTTTTTTGAGACAGAGTCTCGCTCTGTTGCCCAGGCTGGAGTGCAGTGATGCGATCTCGGCTCACTGCAAGCTCCGCCTCTTGGGTTCATGCCATTCTCCTGCCTCAGCCTCCTGAGTAGCTGGGACTACATTCGCCCGCCACCACACCCGGCTAATTTTTTTGTATTTTTAGTAGAGACAGGGTTTCACCGTGTTAGCCAGGATGGTATCGATCTCCTGACCTCGTGATCCGCCCGCCTCGGCCTCCCAAAGTGCTGGGATTACAGGTGTGAGCCACTGCGCCCGGCCTTGTATTTTTAATAGAGATGGGGTTTCACCATGTTGGCCAGCCCGGTCTTGAACTCCTGACCTCAAATGATCCACCCGCCTCGGCCTCCCAAAGTGCTGGGATTACAGGTGTGAGCCATCGCTCTCAGCCTTGCGGTAACTTTTTATTACGAATGTATTGAGACATTAATAACCTAGGCCAGTCATGTTTCATCCCTACCCATTGTCTCTTAAAAGCTTTGAGTCCACTGGATTATTCTGAAGCAAATTCTAGACATTGCATCAGTTTATCCACCAACATTTTAGTGTGTATCTTTAAGTTGGTTTTGGTTTTGTTTTTTGTTTTTGAGATGGGGTCTGGCTTTGTTGCCCAGGCTTGGAGTGCAGTAGTGCAATCATAGCTCACTGCTGCTGCGAATTCCTGGTCTCAAAGGATCCTCCCTCCTCAGCCTCTCAAGTAACTGTGACTACAGGCACATGCCACCTTGCCAGCTTTTCTTTTCTTGTCTTGTCTTTCTTCTTCTTTGTTTTTTTGTTTGTTTTTTGTTTTTTTTTGAGACAGAGTCTCACCATCTTTCTATCTTGCCCAGGCTAGTCCTAAATTCCAGGGCTTAAGTTATCTTTCTACCTCAGCCTCCTAAAGTGCTAGGATTACAGGCCAGCACTTTAGGAGGTGCTGGATGAGCCATCACACCCAGCCAAGTCATAGGTTTTTTTGTTTGTTTGTTTTTTGAGACAGTGTCTAACTCTGTCACCCAAGCTGGAGTGCAGTGGCATGATTTCAGCTCAGTGCAGTCTCTACCAATTGGGCTTAGGTGGTCCTCCCACCTCAACCTCCCAAGTAGCTGGGACTAAAGGTGCGCGCCACCATACCTGGCTAATTTTTGTATTTTTTGTAGAGACAGGGTTTCGAATTCCTGAGCTCAAGCAGTCTGCCTGCCTTGACTCCCAAGGTGCCAGGATTACAGGCATGAGCCACTGCACTCAGCCCTCACAGTTTTAATTACAGTTTTTCCCTTAGTTTTTGTCTTGTTCATATCCAGCTTGTCTTGTATTTTTTTCCCACGATCTGAATTTTGCTGACTGTATCCCTGTGTTGATATTTAAAGTAGACTTCTGTCCCCTGTAATCTTTGTAAACTGATAGTAAATAATGAAGGCTTGATCAGATTGGGTTTTTTTTTTTTTTCCCCAATGTTTCACAGATGTGTGTACTTTCAGTGAGGAGTCATGTAATCAGTCTTTTTCCTGATAGGAGTAGTCAGTGAGTTCCTAGATGTTTTATCTATCCAGGAGATAATATGTCCCTTTAGCGCCTTAATTTTTTTGGTGTGTTTTTTAGCAGCCATTGATGATAATTGTCTAGCCCAAGATCAGTTATTTCCTTAGGGGTTGTAAAATGGTGACATTCTTTTCCTTTCATCCCTTCTTCAATTATTGCCTGGAATATTTCTATAAAGAAAAACTTTCCCATATCCAGCTGTTTGGTTACCCTGAGGTATAGCTTTCTTAGGAAAAGTAATTTAAAATGTTAATCATTTCCCTTTTTAAGGCAGTCTTCAAAATAATGAGTTGGTTTTCTGTTATCCTCCAAAGGTAACCAGTGAGGTGGTTTTTTTGTCGTTGGTTCTTACTATCAGTATAAACTTCTGGAATTTTTTTTTTTTTTTTAATTTTTTGGAGACAAGGTCTGGCTCTGTTACCTAGGCTGGAGTGCAGTGGGATGATCTGGGCATACTGCAGCCTCAACTTCCCGAGCTAAGGCAATCCCCCCACCTCAGCCTCCCAAGTAGCTGGGACTACAGGCAAGCACCACCGTGCCTGGCTTAATTTTTGTATATTTTGCAGAGACAGGGTTTCACCATGTTGCCCAGGCTGGTGTCGAACTCCTGAGCTCAAGCAGTCTGCCTGTGTCAGCCTCACAAAGTGGTGGGACTACAGGCATGAGCCACCATGGCAGGCCAGAATCACAATAAACTTATAAATTAACTTGAGAAGAAATGATTGATGTCTTCATGATGTTGAGTCTTCCTGTTCAAGAACAAAGTATACCTTCAATAGCATATTAAAGTTTATCCTTGGCTGGATGCAGTGGCTGACGCCTGTAATCCCACCTCTTTGGGAGGCAGAGGTGGGCAGATCACCTGAGGTCTGGAGTTCGAGACCAGCCTGGCCAACATGGTGAAACCCCGTCTCTACTAAAAATATTTTAAAAAAAGTATTAGCTGGGTGTGGTGTGCACCTGTAGTCCCAGCTACTCTGGAGGCTGAGGTAGGAGAATCGCTTGAACCCAGGAGGCAGAGAGTGCAGTGAGTCAAGATTGCACCACTGCACTCCAGCTTGGGCAACCGAGCGACACTCTGTCTCAAAGAAAATAAATAAATAAAAATAAAGTTTATCTTTAAGGTTTTGTACATTTTTTTCAGTGTATGCCTTAGGTAGGTTCTTTTTTAATGTTAGTGTAACCCAGGGACTTCTCTTCCATTGCATCTTCTAAGTAATTACTTATGAAGTACCATATATGAAGGCTATTGCTGTTTATATGTTAGTTTTTACCCTGCTCCTTTACTAAATTCCAATCCTTTGAGGTATTGGATAAAAATATTTTTAGCATTTTTCAAATAACAGGCAGAGTCAAGGGCTTGGTTTCTTTTCTTCCCCTCCTGTCCCCTACCCTCCCCTTTTTTGAGACAGGGTCTCACTTCTTCGCCGAGGCTGGAGTGCAGTGGTGCAGTTACGGCTTACCGCGGCATCTGCCTCCCTGGCTGAAAAGTTCCTCCCACCTCAGCCTCCTGAGTAGCTGGGACCATAGATGCACAGCACCGCAGCTGGCTAATATTTTTGTATTTTTTGTGGAGGCAGTGTCTCCCCATGTTGCCCAGGGTGGTCCCAAACTCATGAGCTCAAGCAGTCCGCTCGCCCTGGCCTCCTAAAGTGTAGGGATTATAAGCGTGAGCCACTGCGCCTGGCCTGGGGATCATGTTTTAACATGAGAATTAGTGGAGACAAACACATGATATCTAAATAATAGCACCATAGTATACTTGACTAGCTTTTTAATTATTTTTTAAATATACAGGAAGGTAATAAGTAACAAAGTAATAATAGTGAATAGTTTAAGCTCAGTTAGCATAATCGGGCAAACTTTCATTTGATAAAAGTGATAAGTAGTTTTCAGTGGCTTTTTTGTTTACCAGAAGGAGGTGGTTTTTAAATACGTGCATCCAAGATAAAATATAAAAAAATGTTCAGGTTTGCTTTCCTACATAGATAAAATAATATGTAACTAGCTCTCCCAAATTTCAGCAACAGTTAGTGAATGTTTAGCCACAAATTTGCAGTTAATTATATAATCAGTTCTTAGGATTTTATGAACAAGTTCTATATTCTTTGTGCCTTATACCTAGTTGTAAGCAGTCATTCCACAATTATTTTCCTGAAGTGGCTTGGTTAATGCCACACCAGAAACAGGTCACAGACAATAGTGCTGTAAGAAATGTGTGAGGAAAGAGGCACATGGGAAGTAGCTAGCTCGTGCTGGAGGAACTGGAAAAAAACCTCACATGGGAGATGACAGTTGAGCTGAATTCTTAACTAGAGTTGTAACAGGGCGAGGCCCTTACATGCAGACCACCTGTGTGGATTAAGATAAGACATAAAGTAATCTTTTAAAAGAACTATTATTTAGAAACCTGGTATATGCTACATGGTGCTGTGTTATACTGGGTTTGAGAAAGAATGGGAAGTGTTACAAGGATTCAGTGGTTGGAAATTAAGGAAGATAGAAAGTTAGTGTTGGATCTGTTTTGGCTCTTTGGTCATGCCTTTGTTTTTCTCAAAATGAATGCAGTGCCCGTCCCAGAAAATACCATATGAGAAGCGATTTCATAATGCTGTGAGAGTCTGTTACAGGGACTTGATCAAGTCTGAGGGCCATGAGAGAAAGTCCCTCTGAGGAAGTTGCTTTCAAGCTGACACCTGAAGGATGAAGCAGAATTATCCCAGCTGGGATTTGGGAACTGGTGTTTGAGGCTGAGGACTAGCATGCATGATAGGAAAATAACCCAGAGTGGCAGAAGTGGGAGTGGTATGAGATGGCATCAGAGACGCAGATTCAGGGTCAAATCATTCAGAGCCTCCTAGACCATGTGAACACATGTATTATGCTGTGGAGATACTGTTTAATAGGCAGTCTGCTTTTTTTTCTGCAGTACCAAATATGCCCCAACAGCGGCAAGACCAGCATCATCAGAGTGCCATGATGCACCCAGCGTCAGCAGCGGGCCCACCGATTGCAGCCACCCCACCAGCTTACTCCACGCAATATGTTGCCTACAGTCCTCAGCAGTTCCCAAATCAGCCCCTTGTTCAGCATGTGCCACATTATCAGTCTCAGGTAAGGCTGGTAAGGCCTAACTCTTAATTTTTGTACCATATAAAAAAACTTTTAATATGGTAAAGGGATTTTCCTTTATAATTTTTGCTTTTGTGTGATGGTAGGGTAGATAGCTAAGGACTTGGGGACCCTTTTCAATATATATTCGAAGGTTACTGATGATTGTAAGAGGTTCAGAGGAAACAGCCAAGAAAGATTTGAGAGTTTACAGCTGTTTCTGGAAATCTGGAAACCATGGAGTTAAAAATCTTAACTAAAGTCTGCTTGGCTCTATTTGCAGTGTTAATGTGCTTTCTTTATTTTTTGTTTGAACACAGCATCCTCATGTCTATAGTCCTGTAATACAGGGTAATGCTAGAATGATGGCACCACCAACACACGCCCAGCCTGGTTTAGTATCTTCTTCAGCAACTCAGTACGGGGCTCATGAGCAGACGCATGCGATGTATGGTAGGAAGCACTTTGTTTGTCTCTTCCAGTGTGTGTGACTCTTCTTAATTTAAGTTTCTGAAAACATACTCTATCTAAGAATAACCTGACCTTTTATGACATTGAGGGTCAAGAATCTGAAGGAAAAGATGAACCCATTTCTTTGCCTGACTTGCTTTATAACTTTTGGCAAATAGTTTCTACTTCTGTACCTGGTCTTCAGATCTCTTTCCTGCTTTAACTAAAATGTAATGATGTATATAATGGCAAAGCATCTTTGTGGAGAAAGGTACCTTTCTCCTCTTCCTCATCAATATTATGCTTTGGTATATCCTGCCTACGACATGCAAGAGAATTTTATAATAATAAAAGCATAAAGGTGTTCTCCAGCATGAAAACATTTTGCTTCACTACTTGATCTGAGGGTCACTGGCATTACATATTTTTTTTGCTGTTTGTTATAATGATAATACTATGTTTCTACATCATGCTGTATTTTAATGGTTGAATATTATGTCATATTAGATATATTTTAGACATGAGTCACACTTTAAATATAACCAATGTGAACAGAATGCTGAAATGAAAATGAGAAGTATTTTATGTAAAACTAAGCAGTATTTATATGTGAGAATAATAAGCAAAAAAACCCATCTTCGTTTTGTGACTAAACAGAGAAATTTGTGTAGATCAACTTAGCAGCTGTCTAAAGTACCAAAATAATAGATTTTTCACTGTTGATAATTTAAAATAAAATGTCCATTTGTATATCTTATGATACAGAATTAATGGATTGCTTCAAATGTTTTTCAGAATATGTTTTTAAATAGTACTGATTTCATTAAGATGTTTTGTTCTGAATATTTCTGAGAACTACCGTAGTGTCGTTTAGTTTTCCTATTTGCGTTTTTGGTTGTTTGGAGTAGGGGATAATTTTGGTTTATTCATACAGTTGAAAAGTGTACTGCTATGAGAATGAGATTATGGTTACATGTAACTACATGGGCATTTCATTTTTAAAGCCTCTTTGAACTTTTTGAAATACTAAGAATATAAAATTTTTATTTTTTAAGTTTAGATGTCCTGAACGAGTATGTTTAGGCAAAATTGAGTTATTTAAGAATTTATAGGCTGGGCGCAGTGGCTCACGCCTGTAATCCCAGCACTTTGGGAGGCCAAGGCTGGCGGATCATGAGGTCAGGAGATCGAGACCAGCCTGGCCAACATGGTGAAACCCCATCTCTACTAAAAATCCAAAAAATTGGCCGGGTGTGGTGGCATGTGCCTGTAGTCCCGGCTACTTCGGAGGCTGAGGCAACAGAATTGCTTGAACCCGGGAGGCAGAGGTTGCAGTGAGCCGAGATCGCGCCACTACACTCTAGCCTGAGCGACAGAGTGAGACTCCATCTCCAAAAAAAAAAAAAAAAAAAAAGAATTTACAGATTTCTGGCAAACCTTCTTCTTGAGACATTACTACTTTTCATACCACCTCTGTCCTTTTTGAAGAATAAAAGTTTTAACATTCCGTAGGTTAATGAGAATAGGACTTGGGCAGCAGCAATCATCCTTCCTGTCACCTGTAACCCACAGCTTATGCTTTCTTCCTGGAGGTTCTTGTCTGCCACAAAGGCTCACTGCTGATAGGAATTTGTATATGATCAAAGGTGTTTAGTTTTATAAAACAGTTAAGTCCAGTCTTAATTTTCCACATTATCACTTTCAATTTTGTATTGTGGATTACGCATTTTAAATAAAAAATTGTGTGATTGCTACATTTTGGAAAACATTTTTTTCAAGAGGCCCATCCGTAATTTAATTGTAAAAGATACTGACAAACTAACTTGGTTTATTATTTTGGTTATGACCCCGTCATTTGACTTGTCTTTAGTTGTCTTAACGGGGACTGAATATGCGTGCAAAGGCACGATTGATTTATCATGCTGGCTTTTATGCAACTTGTATATATTTTAACAATTTTCCTGTTTGCTAAAGGCTTAGGTTAAAAGTTCATTATGATTGTTTATACATTTCTGGTGAATACATCATGATTTAACAAGTGGAAAGAACATCTCTTTCCTTCCATTTTCTGGCATACTCCCCTTGGAATCAGATCTGAAACTTTTAAGCTAAAATTTCCATTGCATTTGGAGAGTAGTTATTTGTGTATGCATGCTTTTGAGACATTGTAGCAATAATACTGTAATGTTGAGCCGAATCTTTCTCCTCATTGTGTTCATTCACTGCCAACATCTGGCTTCATCTTTTGGATGAATGTTCATTGGTTTTGAAACAGCCTATAGGGTAAATACTGTGTTTGAGGTACAGATGATTTTCATAACTACTTCCTAGAACATGTCCATTTGAAGAGCAGTGGGGCCTTAGACCCCAAAGTCCATTTATGTGTGGGCAAATAGGAAATGTTGCAAACAAAACAAAGCACTAGATCTAATGTCCAGTGAAATCTGGAATGAACTAGTCATTAGAGCCGGTTCTTTCATGCCAGGAAAAAGTTACTCAGCCAAATCTGAACTACTCTCCTGCAGTTTACACAGGTGGTATTTAATTGCTGTCTGTATGGAGGCAGGCTAGGAGCAAGGCTGTGGACTTGTTGTGATTGTCACTAGTTAATCAAGATTCCCTTTGTGGTGCTTAAGACCCTAAAAAGGACACTAGGAGCTGGGCATGGTGGCTGACACCTGTAATCCAAGAACTTGGGGAGGCTGAAGTGGAGGATCGCTTAGCCCAGGTGTTCAAGACCAGTCTAGGCAAGATGGCGAGATCCCATCTCTACCAAAAAAAAAAAAAAAAAAAAAAAAAAAAAGCCCAGTCATGGTGGCACATGCCTGTAGTCCCACCTACACAGGAAGCTGAGATGGGAGGATCACTTGAGTCCAGGACTTTGAGGCTACAGTGAGCTATCATGGCACCACTGTAATCCAGCCTGGGTGACAGAGCAAGACCCTGTCTCTATTTAAAAAAAAGAAAACATAAGAAAGAATTGTTTTGTTCTATGCCATCATAAGCCATAATTTAATCTGCTTAAGCATGTTCTTCATTAAATCTGCAGTGATTTATTTGAATTATTAGACTTTCAAAGCCTTATTATATCAAATATAAACAAAATTTGAAGTACATTCTTATAAACTACAACAAACTTACATAGAAGTGTTAATTTTATACTCATCTTCCCTGAACAATTTATATTTTATAAATATATTAAATATATTGTCATAAATTTTCTCAAAGGAACCAAATACTTTGAGTATGAATTGTGCTTTTCTTTTTAAGCTACATCATATCTAGGTTTTTAAAACATTTAATGCAAACAGAAGAACATGCACCCAGATGTTGGTGACAATTTTATGTCACCTTTTCTCATTCATTAATTGTTATAGCCATAGCCAAAGGCATTGAAAACATAGGACCACTAATGACTGCAAAATGAAATCCTGATTATTGTTTTTAAATTTTTAGTATGTTTAATACACATATGCTAACATTACTGAACAGTTAAATGATAAAATAGGATAATTATTTTATTCTAAAAAAGTATTGACCTTGACCTCTTTCTAGCTATCTTAGAAAGGGCTTTTGTCAAAAACCTTATCTCTTTGATGTCTCTTTTTTTGAGATGGAGTCTCTCCCTGTCGCCCAGGCTGGAGTGCAGTGGCGTGATCTCAGCTCACTGCACGCTCCGCCTCCTGCGTTCACGCCATTCTCCTACCTCAGCCTCCCGAGTAGCTAGGACTACAGGCGCCCGCCACCATGCCCGGCTAATTTTTTGTATTTTGTTTAGTAGAGATGGGGTTTCACTGTGTTAGCCAGGATGGTCTTGATCTCCTGACCTCGTGATCCGCCTGCCTCAGCCTCCCAAAGTGCTGGGATTACAGGCGTGAGCCACTGTGCCCAGCCTCTTTTTTTTTTTTTATTTTTTATTTATTTTTTATTTTTTTTTTAATTTTTGAGAAGGAGTCTCCCTCTGCCACCCAGGCTGGAGTGCAGTGGCGCGATCTCAGCTCCCTGCAAACTCCGCCTCCTGGGTTCAAGCAGTTCTCCTGCCTCAGCCTCCTGAGTAGCTGGGACTACAGGTGCCCGCCACCACACCTGGCTAATTTTTGTGTTTTTAGTAGAGACAGGGTTTCACCATGTTGGTCAGGCTGGTCTTGAATTCCCGACCTCAGGTGATCCACCCACCTCAGCCTCCCAAAGTGCTGGGATTACAGGCGTGAGCCACTGCCCCGGCCTCTTTGATGTCTCTTAATCTAACTTCCATCATTGCCTCTACCCCATCCCTTCTAAGAAGTTACTTTAATTTTTTTTCCTCTCACATCTACTCTTTTTTTTTTTTTTTTTTTTTTTTTGAGGTAGTCTCACTCTGTCACCCATTCTGAAGTGCAGCGGTGCGATCTCAGCTCACTGCAACATCTGCCTCCCAGGTTCAAGCGGTTTTTCTGCCTCAGCCTCCCGAGTAGGTGGGACTACAGGTGTGCGCCACCACGACCGGCCAATTTTTGTATTTTTAGTAGAGACGGGGTTTCACCGTCTTGGCCAGGCTGATCTCGAACTTCTGACCTTGTGATTTGTCTGCCTAGGCCTCCCAAAGTGCTGGGATTACAGATGTGAGCCACCACGCCCAGCCTCACATCTACTCTTCTAATCCATCTAATTTTGTTTTATGGTGATGCTTTTACCTTTCAGAAACAGTAATAATACAACTTTTCCGACTAACTAGAGCCATTAGGAAGAATTAGATCCAGAATCCTTTTTTGATTTGTTTTTGGTAGTTTAATGCAGATAAGTAAGAAAATATAGTTAAGTTAAAAAAAAAAAAAATGAAAAGCATCCATAATCCCTCCACCTGACAACTGCCTTTTAACATTTTGATGTGTATCCTTCCAGGTGTATTTAAATACACTCAAATACCCTACCCCTTTATGTAGACATGTTTTAATAAGAAATAATATTCATGTTTATATTCTTGCTATGATCCTAAATTTTTGGATCCATTACTAGATAATCTTTCAGGATAATGACATTTCCATTAGTAATGTTTTTGCAAAATTGTGTGTCTATTGAATTAAACTTGTAAAATAGTTTTATTTTGGTACATGATTTATATCAAGGTTGTTCAGTAGAATGCCATGTTGGTGTTTTTATTAGATAATGATTTTATTCCTTTTACTTTTAAGCAAGTCAGCATGACAACTTGACACCTAAGTACAGAAGAACAGTGTCTTCCGGTTTAGTCCTTTCTTTTAAAATTCTGTAGCAGTGTTTAAAGTGCTTGTCATCTCTTATGAAAATGAATTATGCATGAATACAAAAAGAAATTACTAATATGTCAACCTTTCCAGAAAATTTGGAAAATGCACACCTCAAAAGGCTAATTTACCTTTCTATTTCCCAAATTCAGCATGTCCCAAATTACCATACAACAAGGAGACAAGCCCTTCTTTCTACTTTGCCAGTGAGTTGGGTTTTTTATACTAATTTTTAATTGTACAGTAAAACACTTTTTAAAGGATACATGTTAAGGGAGTAGACTTGTTGAACAATATTTTCCTTGTGCCAGTCAAATTATTGAAAGTACTTATATATATAAATAATTCAGTTTTTAAAATGGAAATACCCAATTTAAGAAGGCTGGAGTTAATGAAAAATGGAGTTGTTTCAGAAATCAATTTTTGCATACCAAGCAAATGTGACTGGGAAATGCCTAATATTTTCCTTGTTAGAGAAACTTCCTAAACAGCTTTATACACACACACACACACACACACACACACACACACAAACACACACACCCAAGCCACAAGCTTGGTATAAATTTAAAATGTTTATTTATACACACACACACACACACACACACACACACACACACCCCAAGCCACAAGCTTGGTATAAACTTAAAATGTTTATTTATATTCTGATAAGATGAAATTTATGCCTACCAGGATTTTTAATTGAATAGGATTGATGAAATACTAAGGGAAAAACTTTTCAGTCCTGTGCATGGCTAAAGGTTTAAAATACTCAGGAAGGGCCAGGCACGGTGGCTCACACCTGTAATCCCAGTGCTTTGGGAGGCTGAGGCGGGTGGATCATCTGAGGTCAGCAGTTCAAGACCAGCCTAGCCAACATGGTAAAACTCCATCTCTACTAAAAAATACAAAAATCAGCCATGCATGCTGGCATGCGCCTATAATCTCAGCTACTAGGGAGGCTGAGACAGGAGAATTGCTTGAACTTGGGAGGCAGAGGTTGCAGTGAGCCGAAGTCGTGCCACTCCACTCCAGCCTGGGTGGCAGAGCGAAATTCTGTCTCAAAAAATAAAATATTCAGGAAGCAGACCCCTCAGGATATCTTGAGCTTAAGCAAGAGATCATGACCTCTCAGGTCATTATCTTGGACAGCACAGGTCCCCTCTCCCCACCTGGCAAAAAGTACAGAAATAGTTGCTCCTTCATGGAGAAAGTCTGGGCAGAGCTTTCTTCTGGAAATGAACTTTTAAGGTACATTTTTCCTATTTGTAGGGCAATTTGTAAAAATAAGGGCCGGACGTGGTGGCTCACGCCTGTAATCCCAGTACTTTGGGAGGCCGAGGTGGGTGGATTGCTTGAGGCCAGGAGTTCGAGAACAGCCTGGCCAACATGGTGAAACCCTATCTCTACCAAAGCATGGTGGCACGCACCTGTAGTCCCAGCTACTTGGGAGGCGGAGGCACAAGAGTTCCATGAACCCTGGAGGTGGAGGTTGCAGTGAGCTGAGATTGTACCACTGCACTCAGGCCTGGGCAACAGAGAGAGACTCTGTCTCAAAATAAAAAATAAAAATAAGGCTAGTCTTGGACTTTGGTATTTAAATAGGAAGGAGTACTAATATTTGTAGAAATCCTTTAGAAATTTGTGCCATTAATATTGTCACCTTGTATGAAATGTTGTGTTCTAGAGGATATTAAGGATTCAAATTTTATGTTAGGCACATTTTGAGTTATTTTGGGGTGACTCAATGTCTGACTCTACTAAATGCCATATTAGCATTTAAAATGCATTTGACCTTAAATCTTTGTTAATTATGCCATGACTTGGTATCCAAAAATAAGCTGATACATACATACATACATATATGTGTGTGTGTGTGTGTGTGTGTGTATATATATATATATGTATGTGTGTATATATAATTTATTTGGTGCTAGGAAATGTTAAATTTAATCCTTTAATAGATGCTCTTTAAAAAGGAGTCTTGCTGTATGTATATACTATTAAAGGGGAAACTATGTCTGTGATTGTAGTGTGTAAAAGATAGTAGGTGATTTTATTATGTACTCAATTTGAGGTCTCAAATGTAGTTATCCTCACCATCTTACTGTCTCTGTTAGTAGTTTGGTGTTGTTTTCCTGGTAAGTAGCTAAGGTCCTTAATCATTAACACCTAAGCCTTAATTGCCTTAGCACAACTTCCCCTAAAAGGGAGTATCAGTACTTTTTAAAAGAAACTAACAGTTGGGCTGCTAATTTAATCTGCTGCTTCATTTCCCCCTGTTCTAAGCCATTTTATGATGGTTTGGTCAAGTTGCCTTTTATTCCCCTTTTAGAGTTTTCAACTTTCCTTCACTTCCCTTTTTCTGAATTTAACATCAGATTTACAAGTTGGAAGATTTTGTTTTGTTTTATAAGTTTTGCAATGCTGGTGATCTCTTATGACTTGTGCATCCAAAGTCAAAATGACAAAACCTAGTTACAAATTAAACACACAGCTTTCTGTACTTAATTTGCTTCAGTGAGATCACAGCTGAGGAAACTAGTTCTGGAATGTGGTTAGTGTTATTAAGGATTTTTGACTGATCATATGTTTAGAATCTTAAATATTTATGTCAAGGAACACTGAGTGGGAAACTTCTGGACTAGGTCTGGACCAAAGAAGCATATGTCTTTGATTATCTTTAATCTAAAAGATTTTATGAAGACTAAAGTTTTATAAATAGAAGTTTAACTGATGAATAAATCAGTATTACAAATAAAATTAACTTTATTTTTAACCTCTCTGGGATCTTTAGCCAGAATGAGCATATATAACAAAAGCAGTGAAATAATATGTGTGGGTCAGAACCCACTGCCCTTCCCACTCCACTCTCCTTTTCCCTGATTCTCCTGTGTTTTTTCCTTCTTTACCTTATCTTGGTTCCTTTTTTTTTTTTTTTCTTTTGAGATGGAGTCTCACTCTGTCGTCCAGGCTGGAGTGCAGTGGTGCGATCTCGGCTCACTGCAACCTCCGCCTCCTAGGTTCAAGCAATTCTCTGCCTCAGCTTCCAGAGTAGCTGGGATTACAGGCGCCTGCTGCCACACCCAGCTAATTTTTTTTGTATTTTTAGTAGAGACAGGGTTTCACCATCTTGGCCAGGCTGGTCTTGAACTCCTGACCTCGTGATCACCTACCTCGGCCCCTGGTTCCTTTTTTGTCTCTCTTGTCTTCCAAGCTATTTTTTTCCTTGGCTTTTAAATTTTCTTCCTACCCTGCTTTGTGTCACTGTCACTTAACTGGCCTATCAAGGAACCGAACTGTATTTTTGTTACTAGTATTGATTTAAAGTATAAGTTTCACATTTCTCCCAATTTATTATTATTATTTATTTATTTATTTGTTTATTTTATTTTTTGAGACGGAGTTTCGCTCTTGTTGCCCAAGCTGGAGTGCAATGGTGTGATGTCGGTTCACTGCAACCTCCACCTCCCGGGTTCAAGCTATTCTCCTTCCCCACTCTCCCTAGTAGCTGTGATTACAGGTGCCTGCCACCACGCCCAGCTAATTTTTGTATTTTTAGTAGAGACAGGGTTTCGCCGTGTTGGCCAAGCTGGTCTCGAACTCCTAACCTCAGGTGATCCGCCCGCCTCGGCCTCCCAAAATGCTGGGATTACAAGCGTGAGCCACCGTGCCCGGCTCCATTTCTCCCAATTTCAAATTCAAGGAGGAAAAGAATTCCTGATTAAGGTACTTCTTTCAGATCTTTTGAGCTAGAACAAAAAAACAAAGGGAAATATTTCTAATTAACTCTTTTTAAATTTTGTTTACAACGTATGATACATATTTTACACATCCTTTGTGGTTTTTGTTCGTCTTGTTTTTAATCAATGCCTTGCAAGTTTACCGGTATTTAGGTAGGGAAAGGATTTTGTTTTTGTTTTTTTAAACAAAGCCTATGTACATTCACTCAGCTTGGGTATTTGTGCTATGCATGCAAATTAGCTATAGATTAGAAAACCGTATTATAGTCTTTAAATACTGGTAAACTTAAATTGCAGAGATGCCTTTTAAAAATGCATAGTAAAAATATTTCATCTTTACTTTTCTCTTCAAATGATTTTAAGATTTTTACATTTTTCCAGTTGATGAATAACTTAAATTATGAGATTTCATGGGCATAATTATTTTCTATATTTATTGTTACTTTTTAATATTCTTAATACTTTGCTTAGAAGGTATTTAAAAGTGAAATTTCAAACTTTTTAGTACAAAATTTCTTGAATAAATAAAGTTACAAAAAAAAAACAAAAACCTCTGAGATTCCGTACTGTATCTTTATGAACCTCCATGAACAGAATTTGGGATTTGGGAATTGCTTTTCCTTAGACAGATTTAGATTGTTACAAATGACATTTTTAAGAGGCTGGGGTGGCGGTAGGGGTTAGTGCTAATGGTTTAACAGTAGGGGACCATGGACAACTGTAGACATCACTATCCAGTAGAACATTTTGTGGCTGGGCGCGGTGGCTCACGCCTGTAGTCCCAGCACTTTGGGAGGCCAAGACAAGTGGATCACCTGAGGTCAGGAGTTCAAGACCAGCCAGACCAACATGGTGAAACCCTGTCTCTACTAAAAATACAAAAAAGTTAGCCAGGCGCGCCTGTAGTCCTAGCTACTCAGGAGGCTGACACAGGAGAATCGCTTGAACCCGGGAGGCAGAGGTTGCGGTGAGCTGATATCACGCCACTGCACTCCACCCTGGGCAACAGAGCGAGACTCCGTCTCAAAACAACAACAAAACTGCACTGTCCACCGTATTAGCTACTTAGCTACATGTGGCTTTTTTATTATTCAAAAATAAATTTTTAGGCCGGGTGCAGTTGCTCACACCTGTAATCCCAACACTTTGGGAGGCCGAGATGGACGGATCACTTGAGGCCAGGAGTTTGAGACCAGCCTGGCCAACATGGTGAAACCCCGTCTCTACTAAAAATACAAAAATTAGCCAGGTAATCCCAGCTACTCAGAGGCTGAAGCAGGAGTATCACTTTAACCCAGGAGGCGGAGGCTGCAGTGAGCCGAGATCGCTCCACTGCACTCCAGCCTGGGTGACAGCAAGACTGGGTCTCAAAAATAAACAAACATGGCCGGGCGCAGTGGCTCATGCCTGTAATCCCAGCACTTTGGGAGGCCGAGGCGGATGGATCACTTGAGGCCAGTAGTTCGAGACCAGCCTGGCCAACATGGTGAAACCCGTCTCTACTAAAAATACAAAAATCAGCCAGGCATGGTGATGCTTGCCTATAGTTCCAGCTACTCGGCAGGCTGAGGCAGGAGAATCGCTTGAACCCGGGAGGCGGAGGTTGCAGTGAGCCGAGATGGTGCCCCTGCACTCCAGCCTGGGCAACAGAGCGAGACTCTGTCAAAAATTAAACAAATAAATACATTTTTAAAATGAACGTAAGATTTTTACAAGTACAACAAACTCAGGTTCGAAATTTACATCAAATCTTTTAGACCAAGTCAGTGCCTATACAACTTGGAGGAGCTGGAAGTAAACTTAATGAGTATGATGATGATGGAGGGCCTGTTAATAAGCCACCAAGTTAGAAAAAAAGGACTGTCTTATAGACTTATGGGACTGTGAAGCTCAGGAAGGCTTCATCGTTTGTACATCATTTGTTCTAGCTCCCAGAAGACGTTCACTACTCTTAAAAACATTCAGAGACTATGTTGCCACAGTTTTCTTGTTAAAATATTCTGGCATATGTTAATTCCTACAGTCTGGAAAATTTTCCCAGTGTATAAACAAAGCTGCTGTATCCAGTCTAAACTGGATATGAAGGAATATTAATGCCAGCTGTGGCATTGGCAGTGGATGCACAGGTGATCCTAGAACTGGCTCTTTGCCTTGCCCTTTCCCCTGCTAAGAGATAGCTTTGCAGCTGGAGACGTAACTGTTAGGGCTGGAGAGTTGGTGGCCCTTAGCCCTACAACACCTAGGATTATAGAACTGCTCCATGTGCCTAGCCTAACCCTCTGCACACCATTTACGTGGAATATACCCAGAGCCGTCTATGCTGGTGACTCGGCAGCCTTGCCTACCAGACTGCTGGAACTAGGGTGCCTCTTCCCAAAGCTGTGCTTGCTTCTCTCACCAATCAGTCCTGCATATGTCTGTGTTTGCTAACACGTTATATGAAGAATGTGGGGAACTATTTTGGAATCATTTCTGTGTATGGGCTTATTATCTTGAGGGATTTTAGGATTTGTTTCTCAAGAGAGGGCTGGGAACTATACCTTGCTAGAGTTGTCTTGAGAACGCTCTATTCTCAGCTCATTGCCTCGTGGAGGTTAGTTTTTTATCATCGGTGTGCTGTCCATAGTCACTGGAAGCAGTGAACACATCCTACTCTGCTTCTGATTCTCAACTTACTGTTTTTGAAGCACATGAACAGGCCAGGCACGGTGGCTCACGTCTGTAATCCCAGCACTTTGGGAGGCTGAAGTGGGCGGATCATTTGAGGTCAGGAGTTTGAGATCAGCCTGGCCAGCATGGCGAAACCCCATCTCTACTAAAAATACAAAAATTAGCTGGGCGTGGTGGCACATGCCTGTAATCTCAGCTACTCGGGAGGCTGAGGCAGGAGAATTGCTTGAACCTGGGAGGCAGAGGTTGCAGTGAGCCTGGGCAACAGAGTGAGTGAGACTTATATCTCAAAAAAAAACAAAAAACAAAAAACTGAAAGACATGAAGAAATGGTTTTTGTACCAAGGTTTGGCCCACGCTGAGATTCACAAAGAACTGGCTTTCAGTTCTTATCTTTATTTTGATTTAAACTGGCCCATCATGTTGTCCTTTGAAGTTAGTCTAGTAAATTTCTTTCCAAAGGGCTGGGGCACTCAGAAGGGAGTTTACTTTTCTATATTTATTTCATAAAGCAAAGATGGGAGATCCTCCATTAGGGCTTGGGAAAGTAAACTGAGTGGCAGAAGGGCTCCTGTGATTAGCTGAGAGAGACTGTGGTCCTTCGGCCCTGATGATAGATCCCTGGCCTTGCCACATACCATACACAGTGCCCGCACCCCCATCCCCCACCACACCCAATATAGTCTGTGCCCTCAGGACATTGCTCCAGGGCAGTAGCATGGTGAGGTTAGCCTGATGATGGCCTTGAGCTAAAGAGTGTGCACCTAAAATGCACTTGTTTGAGTAGTTTCTGCCTATGCCTTCAAGTTGCCTTTTTGGGAAAACCTAGTGACCGTTAAGAGTAAATGCAAACTAATTTGATTTTAATATCATATGTAGAGCTGTATTATATGAACCAAATGCTAGTCTGTTAAGCAATAGCTACACTTATTTTTTCAAGACAATGGATGGTTTAAATGGAGTCATCTATAGAAATTGGTAGTGGCGTGAGTTATGCATTGTAACCATCAAGAAAGTTCAGTTGATGAAGTGTAGAGGAGCGATGGAGGTTGTCAGACATCGGTTGTGTACATGCTCCTTTTTCTTTCACTTTAGTTTCCACGGGCTCCCTTGCTCAGCAGTATGCGCACCCTAACGCTACCCTGCACCCACATACTCCACACCCTCAGCCTTCAGCTACCCCCACTGGACAGCAGCAAAGCCAACATGGTGGAAGTCATCCTGCACCCAGTCCTGTTCAGGTAAGGGCAACTCAGAGGTCTGCATGGAGTGGCTTCTTTATCCTAGTATCTGAGTGCTTTCTTCAGGTGCCAGGTATCGCATCGTCAGAACACATGGCATGTCCACCCTCGTGAAGATGGATACAGCTGTGCCCCTGGGGTGGTGGTTTTAAGAATCACATTTAAAGGCTGGGCGCAGTGGCTCACGCCTGTAATCCCACCACTTTGGGAGGCCGAGGCGGGTGGATCACGAGGTCAGGAGATTGAGACCATCCTGGCGAACACTGTGAAACTCCGTCTCTAATAAAAATACAAAAAAATTAGCCGGGCGTGGTGGTGGGCGCCTGTAGTCCCAGCTTCTCGGGAGGCTGAGGAAGGAGAATGGCGTGAACCCGGGAGGCGGAGCTTGCAGTGAGCAGAGATCGCGCCACTGCACTCCAGCTTGGACAACAGCGAGACTCTGTCTCAAAAAAATAAAAAATTAAAAAAAATCACATTTAAGATACATGTTGATAATAAGGTGATTGGATAAGCTCTGGAAACTTGCAGTAATGAAAAATCAAATTTAACATAAAGTTCATAAGGCAAATTCCTATTTGCTTGGGACTTTTTAATTTCTAAGGTTTATGTGATGAGGTTATTTTCCTATGAGCTTCTTGAATTATGTTTGCTAATGGAGGCAGTTAAAGATGTCTTTGATATCTATCAGTTCCCTGGGGCAGTAGTCTTTTTTGACTTTAGTATGTATGCTCAGAAGTTTCTAACTGCCAGACTGAGAATCAGGCTTCTGTACCCTAGAAAGGAGTTGTCCAGATGGGAGGCACCTCCAGCCTTGCTCTTACCACCCTGTACATTCTCCTGTACTTTCCAGTGACCCTCATCATAGGCCCAAGTGTGCAAAGCTTAGCTTTGTGGGTATCCCTTGGCTGCTTTTCATTAAAGAAGTTTTCCTCTCAATTCTTTCCTGTCGCTTTGCAGCACCATCAGCACCAGGCCGCCCAGGCTCTCCATCTGGCCAGTCCACAGCAGCAGTCAGCCATTTACCACGCGGGGCTTGCGCCAACTCCACCCTCCATGACACCTGCCTCCAACACGCAGTCGCCACAGAATAGTTTCCCAGCAGCACAACAGACTGTCTTTACGATCCATCCTTCTCACGTTCAGCCGGCGTATACCAACCCACCCCACATGGCCCACGTACCTCAGGTAATACCAGCTTTAGCCAACTTTCTGTGAAGGCCAAGTAGAATGTGAAGGTTATCAGTAAGCAGCTAGAGGCTCTCCCAGCTAGGAAACCCTGTGTGTCATGCCATTTGCCTGTCTCCCTTTCCCTCTCAAATACACGTGATCTGGCCCTAAGGGAATGTTTGTGTGGTTTTGTCATGGGATCAGTGAAGGTGCTGATTGGTCAGTCCTTTAGTTTTCCAACTGAGACCTTAAAAATATCTTTGACTCTGGAATGCAACCCAGTCCTTCTTTCCTTTCTGTGTCTGCTTTGCTATGTCTATATAGCCTCACTACTATATATATGTGTACATATATATTCCCCTACACACTTACCTTGGAAGCCAGGCAGGGATGATGGCCTTCACAGAGTCTCAGCTCTCCGAAGTGACTACCGGGGCCTGTCAACTTGATTGTTACTCACATGAGTTCCAGACACATCTCTCCAATTGTTTTCCCTGGTTATCCATATATCTGCTTTGACCATAAGTTGTACTCTTGAGAGGGCTTGGCCTTGGACATTGGTGCAGTGTAACTAGAAGCTGGAAGCACCCAGGTGGTCCCATTTTTCTTTAAGAGCAGCCCTGGAAGCACTTTGGAGCTCACCTCCAGTGTAAGCTGCTACAGGTGAAAGGTGTGCTTGCCATCTCAGTGGTTGCTGTCTGCATCAGCTGCTGACAAAGGTCCCTGCACTCCAGGGCCCAGGGGATTGTCTTAATGAGGAGAAGGAGCTGCACTGAAGTTGGGCTCTAACGCTGGCCTTGAGGCCCTCCCTGGGGCTGTTACGGGTGAATTGGCTGTATTAGATGTCTCTGCTACTTTCATAACAGAACTCTCTGAGGCGGGTCTAAGTGAGACCTGCCACAATGAATTCCATTTCCTGTTAAATAGTGCGCCAGTGAGGCTCTGGCAAGGTGTGGGCTAGAGATGCGACTCAGTTGGATCTATCTCTCAGAAGGCTACCTTGTAAGTAGAGTTCCACAGCTCTGGGAAGTTTGGGCGTCCTCACCCTGCAAAGTTTAGGTTCTGTGGTGTAGCGCACTGCAGTTGATTTGCTTTTTGATAGTGGGGAGGGAAGCCGGTTTGGTCCGTGTGGGCCAGCGTGGTTTGGTGGAGTCAGCTTCATAAGAGCTGGGGTCCTGTAGGTGTCTACCAGAGGCTGGTGGCTAAGTAGGCATGTGAACTTACATGTAAGTCAGGGATCCCTAAAACCTCACTCTGTTTTTGTGCTGAAAGGGCAAAAAGGTTAACACAGGGAAGCTCAAATTTGCCATGTGCCCGTTTGAATATGTGAGAGTAAAAACGGCATTTCATCCAAGGCTTATCGTAGTCTAGAACAGTGCACAGTGTGGGAAAAAGGAAACAAGGGCTCTTCCTGGCCCTGCCAACCCCCTGCAGAGCTGGAATCCAGCTGTTTGGGCTGACTAAAATCACCTTTCCAACTTGACAGTGAGTGAGACCAGGTTGAACTTGGTACAGAGACGCTGGGCTGGCCCAGATGACTTCAGGTTACTCCTTTCCATCTCACTGGAGCCATTAAAAACTCCAACTCCTCCTCCTCCTCCTGCTCCATCAGCATATCTCTGAGAGAGTCACGGGGGCCTAAGAGTCTCTTTTCACTGCCTGGTGAGCAGACCAGAAGCAGAGGGAGAGAGGCAAATGAACAGAGGTCCAAGTAATTCACATACTTGACTGTGACAGTCTCTGCTTATTAATGTAATCTGTTTTCCTATTTGAAAGGGATGTTATCTGCAAAACTACCTCAGGCCCCACATGGCAGCCTGATTCTGAAGCATCATTGAATCTTGTATGATATTAAGTTGAGAAAGCTGCCCTTGGATCCAGTGTCTAATCTTTGTGAAGATCTTACCCCATACATAGAATACAATGATCAGAAATGTCAAGGGTTAGGACAGCACAGCCCTGACTTCTACCCAGGCTCACTTGTTGCCTGCTCCCTGACCCTTGCAGGATCTGCCCAAAGGTGAAGCGCGTCTTCAGGTCAATAGATAATCTACTAGAGATTGTCCCCAGAGAACAGAACTGGGCCCTGAGGCCCACCGTTGCCCTTTCCTGAGAGTCCCAGCCCAGTGAAAGGAACACAGTTGACATGTTGTTGAAGCCGGAGATGTTGCCTGTATGCGTAAAAGAGCTCTCTGTTTCAGGCTCATGTACAGTCAGGAATGGTTCCTTCTCATCCAACTGCCCATGCGCCAATGATGCTAATGACGACACAGCCACCCGGCGGTCCCCAGGCCGCCCTCGCTCAAAGTGCACTACAGCCCATTCCAGTCTCGACAACAGCGCATTTCCCCTATATGACGCACCCTTCAGGTGAGGCGTGTGTGTGCAGGGGCCGCCGGGGCACCCCAAAGCATTCTGCTCGCACAGGTGGAATGGCAGGCAGGGCCAGTGCTTCAAGCCCCGCATTTGAGAACTAGCAAGACCCGTCCAGGAGTGTGCACAGGAGGGACTGTGACGATCAGTTCAGCATCAGGGCCTGAGGCTTCCGGGAGCCGAGTCTGTGTGTGTTCTGATGGTATACAGGATTTGGCTTGATGAGAAGCAGCAGCAGCAGCAACAGCAGCCTGATGCATGCCTAGGACTCAGTTGGCCTTCCTTGTTATGACAGGCTGGACAGGGCAGTGTTTTCCTTCCTGAGTCCCAAAAGTCTGACATGTGGGGGGTTATTACCATGGCAGAGTTTGATTGTAGCTCTGGAGAAGATACTGCTGAGAAAGCGCTGTGGATGGACTGGCTTTGAGTGTAGCGTTAGCCCCAGCCCCTGAACAGGGGAGAGCGCCCTGTGATTGTGCTCTACTACTTGATGGCTGCCATGGCGATACTTCACAGTCTGACCTGTTATTCTGAAAGCAATACTGGTGCTTGGCTAATATTTGGGGAGGGGGTTTGTTAAGGCCTTTTTTTCTACCCCATGAACAAGTCTTCTGGGAGTTTTATCTGAAGTGGTTTTACGTCTGACTGGTTTGTTTCTACCCACCCACCCAACCCTCCCCACTTTGGTGCAGATGGGAGGGGGAAAAGCGAATTCAATTTTGAGTTTTGTTCAGCTAGCACGAGGATAGTTTACAATCATGTGCTGCAGAGACACTAGGCTGATGTGTGGTGTTGCCAGTTTTCTGTTTCAATGTTCGCTTTTCTTTTTACAGTACAAGCCCACCACCAACAGCAGTTGTAAGGCTGCCCTGGAGGAACCGAAAGGCCAAATTCCCTCCTCCCTTCTACTGCTTCTACCAACTGGAAGCACAGAAAACTAGAATTTCATTTATTTTGTTTTTAAAATATATATGTTGATTTCTTGTAACATCCAATAGGAATGCTAACAGTTCACTTGCAGTGGAAGATACTTGGACCGAGTAGAGGCATTTAGGAACTTGGGGGCTATTCCATAATTCCATATGCTGTTTCAGAGTCCCGCAGGTACCCCAGCTCTGCTTGCCGAAACTGGAAGTTATTTATTTTTTAATAACCCTTGAAAGTCATGAACACATCAGCTAGCAAAAGAAGTAACAAGAGTGATTCTTGCTGCTATTACTGCTAAAAAAAAAAAAAAAAAAAAATCAAGACTTGGAACGCCCTTTTACTAAACTTGACAAAGTTTCAGTAAATTCTTACCGTCAAACTGACGGATTATTATTTATAAATCAAGTTTGATGAGGTGATCACTGTCTACAGTGGTTCAACTTTTAAGTTAAGGGAAAAACTTTTACTTTGTAGATAATATAAAATAAAAACTTAAAAAAAATTTAAAAAATAAAAAAAGTTTTAAAAACTGATCAAGTTAGTGTGTGTCTGTATAAGCTACTTCTTTGTAGGATACTTAATATCAAAGCAGGTGTGCTAAGGGTGCATTTTGAATATCCCGGAAGGTAGCTGTGAAATGATTTTTCTTCTTCACCCTTAGTTCTGGTTCAAGGTATCTCTAGAAAAAGACAAGACTGAGCTATTCTCTTTGGTGGATTAGAGATCTGCTTCAGGAGGAGGAAGGTTGGCCAGAGTTGGGCAGCACTGAAATTCCACATCCTCGGGCTGACACCGATTCTGTAAGCTTCCTTTTTAATATCTCCTGAACCAAAATGAGTGTCATTAGCTGGAAGTTCCCAATTCGGGCATTTTTCTACTTTACCAGTAGGGGGCAGGAGACACTCAGAAAAAAATTGCAATAAAGAAATCCAGAGGGCATGAAGGCTGAAAAGATACAAAGATGTACAAAGCTGCTTATTGACATGGATGGACTCATAAGCATTTGTTAGTATTCCCAGATTGCAACGGGGAGGACAAAGGGAAGAGCGAGTATTTGGGCAGGGCAAGGATTTTGTAGAGACACCATGGTCTTAATAGAGCCTTTAAATATTATGACAGCAAATCAAGATTCTGAAAACTTTTTAATTCACATATAGCAATTTGTACATTATAGCAAAATTTGCATTATTCAAGAATAAGTTACTTGTACAGTACATAAAACAATACATAAAAATTTGCCAAATACCTTCTGCCTATAATGATACAAGATGAATCCACTTTATGTTATCACAATGTGCTGTATATTCTAACCAAACACAGGATGTCAGATGTGTCCTTGTTAATATACTCGCAAGTTCCTCTAGCTTGTGGGAGATGTTAGAGCTAACACATTTGCAGTAAGGGACTTAGTCCTGAATAGAAAGCATGAAGGAATCTCAGGCAACCCTCAGGGAAGAGTCCAAGGCCTTGACTTTAGGTTAAGAAACTGTTATGTAAAAATAGTGTTCTCTGGCCCAAGATTTTAATGATTGCTATTCCTTTTTCCTACGGTCCAGAAATGATCAAAGGCAGAAGATTTATACCAGATAAAGCCATATGGATTGCTGGTCTAAAATTCAAGGCAGGTTAGTTGACTTAATTCTTTGGTGCTGGTGACTGTTAGTTTGTAAAAGTTCAATAAGTCAGATGAAGGAAGGGATGGTGCCGGGAGCTGTCAAGCTGTACTGGTGGGGTCTGTAATTAGAGCTAACTGGAGGGATCATGATGTCTACTGTCCAGTTTGGTGTTGAGCCATGGCTCTCGGTAGAAGTTGCCGGCTGGGGCCTGGTCAGGACTGGAAGGAGAGTGGTGGGATGTGCTGTGCCTATGGTGGGCTAGCTGCAGCCAGTGGGGTGCCTGCCCCACACTGCTGCCCACCCCTTCATCAGCTGATTCTGCTCCCACATAAAGAAAGGTGTTGGCTTAGTGTCACTTCTTCCTAGAGCCATGGGAGTTTTCTGTCAGCATGTTTTTGAGCTGTCCTGGTAACTTGGACGGGAAGCAGTCTGGAGGTGGGTGCCTTCCAAATCTCTGCCACAGAATCTGAACTTGCACTTTGCAGCCTGTTAGTCAGAGCTGCTAAGTTTGCTCTACCTGGTGTGCCTCTTGGCACCACCTGAGAGATGTATGTAGAGAGGCTGCTAAGAAATGAGTGCCCCTGGCATGAAGACGTCATATCCCAGATGTTTAACTTCTGGCTGGAGGGAGGGAACTTAATTTGGTTCATTATCTACTGGGTACCTTTCCTGTGCGGAGGGGAGGACCAGTGACTTTCCATAATAAGCTTTCTCCTTTAAAAAAACTTCAGACTCTTACTTACTCTTTTGGTTCACACTAATTAGCATTCATTTTCCAGAGAAAGCTGCTTGACTTTGAGGAAATAAAGACAGGTGTCCTTAAAAATGGACTGCAAATCTGGATCAGTGTCAGGTCTGCTTTAGGGTCCATGAAATCACCCAAGAGTGTTGGTACTAAAAGTGGTGTAGGCTGGGCGCGGTGGCTCGCGCCTGTAATCCCAGCACTTTGGGAGGCCAAGGCGGGTGGATCACCTGAGGTCAGACATTCGAGACCAGCCTGGCCAACATGGTGAAACCCTGTCTCTACTAAAAATACAAAATTAGCCAGGCATGGTGGCTGGTGCTTGTAATCCCAGCTACTTGAGAGGTCGAGGCAGAATCGCTTGAACCAGGAAGGTGGAGGTTGCAGTGAGCCAAGATTGCACCACTGCACTCCAGCCCGGTTGACAAGAGAAACTCCATCTCAAAAAAAAAAAAAAGAAAAGTGCATAGGGGTTTGTTCCCCCACCCTCTGAAAGACCCCAAGGAAATTCTAGAAGCAAAAATTTGACCTCTTGGAGCACAGAGACTAAGTATAAGTGGAAGAAGCAGACCTAACCCTCCTCCCAGGCAGTCAGTCCTATGAGTTTTAGGCTGAGGTTTCATTTTAGCCTCTGATCGATGTATCTGTAAAGCTGATCTAAACTCCCAGTTTCCTAGAAGCCACTGCTGTGAGCCTGGGGGTTGTACTGAATGGCTCTGCTGGCACCCAAGAGCAGCTGACTCCACTGTCACTGCCCCCGTTTCTGAGCCTCCAGACAGGTTCTGGGAGGAGCCAGCCCCCTATGAATTGTATCACTTGTATAGATAGAGATTTGACTTCAGGACCTCCCTGGATGGTGGAGATTGTGTGTGCCCATGTGTGCAAGGAGATAGATAGATTCTCAATCCAGTGAAGCAGTAGCCAGCTAGAACAGAACACTGATTGTGGGCTATTAAAGGAGTTTCTCATTAGTTATGGCACCAGATTCCCAGCTTCCATTTTGGCTCAAAAAAGGAGCCTAAAACCCACTTGTGGGATAATTTAATAAGCCATTAGATGCTTGGAGGGCACCAAGCCAGCCTTGTTGCTGAAGGATTTACTAGAAAGGGCCTAGGAGTCCTTCTTCCCTTTTTGCTTGCTCTTCCCCTAGCCCCAGTTAATTTAACTATCACTGTAAAGCTGCTGTAAACCAGAATCCAGTTTTTTATTCGTAAGGCACCAGGATAGAACTGTTCTTGCCACCCTCCTATTTCAGTAATTGCCTGAATTTCCCTGAAAGGGTGACATACTTCACTTCTTGACATTTAGGAAGGACAGTGGCCACTCAGTGGCAGGTGACTGTCCCGAGGATGCAGTAGACAAGCCAGCATGCTGGCTCAGACTGTAAATTAGGTAGGGTTTGCATAGCTGTTTCTGACTACAAAAATAGCATGGGTGTTAGTTGAAACAGTGCACTGAAATAAGCAGTGGTTAAGTTTTGAACCTGAATCCTTTAAAGAAATTAGTCTGAGGTAAAATGTTTTAAATCATTTTTGACCTTCAGCTTGTGCCTCTGACAGAGCTTTTGTCCTAAAGCTGAGAGTAGAAGCAGGATTAGATGTGGTCATCTGTGGTGTGGACACAGCAGACCTGCCATGTGGACTGACGGTAGATGGGAGAACCGCTTGTTAGTGTTCTGGGCTTCCTGATGATCCCCCCCTCCTCCCCGTAGAAAGTCTGTCATCCGCTGTGACAGTGTCAGTGAAAAAGAGAACAAGTTTCCACTGCCAGCTCTGGCCCTCACCCCAACTCCTTTCTCTAAGAGTAACGGGGACTGGGCATAGGGACCCCGGGCAGGAGCTAGCGGCATCCTCTAACAAGAACTACATCTGTAAACAATAAGGAGAAAGCCAGGTGGATAGATGAAACCTACAGGAGGGCCCTTCAACAGGCCTAATAGAAGGGTCACTTCCAAACTGGCACGAGCAGTTAACAGTGTCCCTTAAATCTTTCTCTGGAAGGAAGGAAAGATCAATTACATTCACAAGTTCACACTTCTGCCTGTGCTCCTCAAGGGCAGCTGTTGAGGCCTGGAATTCCTCACTGGTCAGAGAGGTGTGTACTGATTGTCTATGGCCCGCAGGTGGCTCCGGGAGGATGAGTCCATTTCGTAGTCCGAGTCCCGGGCTCGATTCACAGGCTCATGCTCCAGGTGCTGCAGGCTGTTGGCCAGTTCTTCGGGCGAAGGCACCAGGTGGAAGATCTGCTCGGGGGGTGAGGATCGCCCTGGGAGACCCTCTGGGCTGAGCCCCCGGGGACAGCCAGAAGAACTAAGGTGGGGAAGGCCCAACTCTGAACCCCAGTGAGGAAGGGACTCTGAATCCCAGTGAGGAAGGGAGAAAGGGAAGAGGACCGTGTTGCAGGAACCTAGGACAAGTGACCAAGAGAGACCACACCATCAGTCTTGAGGCAAGTGCTGACAGGACACAGAACAAGATACCTGTACCCCTGGGTCTGCAGCAAGCCTCTACCCTCTACCCAGTGTCAGCCACCCCCTTCAGCAAAGGGCAGTAGGGTCAGACCTGGTGGTTGGGAGACGACTACCACGTAGCTGGAGAGCCGGACATCACAGGCGGCGCCGCACTCGAGTGGGATGGGCGAGCGCTGGAAGTGGTGGAGCATGTCCACGACCGAGGGAAAGTGGAGGTGCTGCACACGGCACTGGCCCCGCTCTGTCAGCGACAGGCGCAGGTGCTGTGGGAGGAGAGGATGGTGGGCTCGGGCTGTCCCTCTAGGACCCTGAACTCCAGTGGAGAGGGGTGGCACGGTCCTGCCTGCCCCACCCCACCCCACCCCACCCCATACCTTGGCTATCCCCTGAAAGTTGAAAGTGAGCACGTATTCCCCACGCCGCGTCTCGCTCTGCCGCACCAGGAACACTCCATGAGCATCAGGGCCCTGCAGCTGAACCAGCTGAGCTGCTTTCACTCTGGAGATGGGGCCGTGGAACCAGGGGTAGCAGGACAGGAAATGGTCCGTCTTCTGGCAGGCCGGGTCCAGCAGCCCCCCAGGAGAAGCACCTGTTAGATAAGATGGGTGATGGTGGTCGCAGGGGGCTACCTTATGTCCTGGGCTGAGTCTGGGTTCCAGCGTACCCAGAAGACAATGGCCTAGCTATTGGTTTACCCACCTTGGTTAAGGGAATCTGTGCTGCCCCTTGGGGAGCTGGACGTGCTAGGCTCTAGGGCTGAGGGAATATGCATCTCTGCTTCTGTGCTCTCCAGCCTGCTGGAGAAGAGGCTGAGGTTAAGGATCTGGGCAGGTCAGGGGTGGTAGCAGCAAAGGTGGTGCCAGGGACGAGGGCCCAGGACCTCACCCTCGGCCTGTGCACTCCGAGAGCTCAGCCATCCATGAATTCAGCTGCTGCTCGTCTCCCACCTCAAAGATGATGTCTGTCCGGTCCTTCACCTGGCAGGGAGGAAGGGAACAGGGTTGGGTCTGCTGTATGTGTATGTATTTGTATTGCCCCAGGGTGTGAAAAGCCTTGTCACTCACCTTCAGCACAAAGGTGTAAAGGTTGTCAGGCATCTCAAGCCGTGTGCACCACCGGACCTCCTGGATGCTGGAGCAAGCTGCTTGTAGCTTGGGCCTTGAACTCTACGAGACCAAGTTGGGGTACTCAAGGCTTGTTCCTGATGCTCTTTCTTCCAGCCAGGCCTGAGTTTGTCTATAGTCTCCCCAGGAGTCCCCCTTTTAGAGAGAGTATCCATGGTGTTGCTGGGCAGGCTCTGAGCCTGTAGTGAGGTCCAGGGTGCCTTCCCCTAGCCTCCTGAACACCATTCACACTGAGATCCCAAGAAGCATGTGCTGGCAGAAGGCCAGCCCTCCCAGCCCATTGGACCTGGACTTGGAGACATTCCCACTCTGCCATGTGTCTGACATCCGTTTCTCTTCCCACTGGTGAGCAAACAGCTCCCTGCCCAGCCAGGTGATAGCAGCTGCTGACGGTCTCATCACACCAAGCCCAAAGGGGCAGAGCCTAGCATGGCTAGCCTAAGTTATAGCCACTGTAAAACCACAAAATCTTGGCCCTGGACCTTCCCAGGACACCCGGCACATAGGGCTGCAGGGTGGATAGGAGTTAGCCACTGTTCCTTTGCCAGCAGGAAACCTGCTCCCAGGTCTCAACTGACCCTGCAGATGCTTCCTGTGCTGGGGCACTCTGCAGCCAAGGAGCCAGCTGCTTCCGGTTGGGAATCTGCTCAGGAGGGGGTTTGCCCCTCCCCTTCCTCTTGTGATAAGACTGAAAAGATGGCCGAAAGAAGAAAAGGGGAGAAAGAGATGAGATAAGGAATGGACAGAAGTGGCCCCACTGGGCCCCCTCCATTCAGGTGTTCCTGGAAAATACTACAACCCCTAACAAACTGGGAGCAGGGGGATGGAAAGCAGAGGCAGCCCAAAGGATGTTCTAGCAACTGTGGCTTCAGGTGATCTGACCTCCACCTCAGCCCAAAAGGGCATACCTTGGACTGGAGCTGCTAGTGCTGTTGAATTGACCCCCAAAACCAGATGCTTAACCTTGCTTTACACACAGAGCTGCCAGGTACCTCTGTCGGAAGGATCATGACCCAGTGGCCTGGCCACCTCCTTTATCCCCCTTCCCCACCTGCAGGAGAGTCAATGAAC
Organism: Homo sapiens; assembly: GCF_000001405.40. NCBI lineage: Eukaryota > Metazoa > Chordata > Mammalia > Primates > Hominidae > Homo > Homo sapiens. Next base: position 111,445,723 of record NC_000012.12, on the reverse strand, counting down.
AGTGAGGTAAGAGGGCAGCCTGGCAGGAGCAGGATGGCCACCTGGGCCCTTCCAGCAGGTCTCCTGGGAGCTCCCGGGCCTGCTCTGGTTGGCGGACACAACAGGCTGGGGGAGAGTAATGACTGCAGGAATGACCAACACTGGCCACAGCTCACTGCGGCCTCTCACTAGAAAGCTGCATGACTAGAAAATTCCAGCCTGAAGTGACCAGCACCAGCCAGGGCATTTTCACCTCCTACTCCCAGAGGTCCAGCAGCCAGGATGAGGCAGGCAGAGTGAGGCCTCACATGGCATCCACACGGGCACTGGACACAGCGCAGTGTGCAGGGAGTGGGGCCTCTGCGCTCTTGCCCATTTTTACAGCCAGCCAGCCCTGCAGAGCCTTCATTTCCTGTCTGCAAGATGGGTAAGGTGCGAGTGGCCACTTCCTTCTGCTACTTTTCCAGTTGGCCCTGCCTGGCCCCCACCCTTCCCCCTAGCTGCAGGCCTTAAGGATCACTGGGAGGATATAGGCCAGGCCTGGAGGGGAACGGGCCTAGTCTCCCTTTCAGTTCCGCTCCAGGCCTAGTCCCCAGTGTCAGTGCTGAGATTAACCAGCAGAGCTGCCGGTTTCACTCTGACTCTGGCCCCTGCAAGCCAGCTCCACCCCCAGCAGCTGAAGAACTGCTGAGCAGGCAGGCAGTGGTGAAAAGAGGATTCCCCTCCTCACCCACAGCCAGCCTGGCTGCCACCTGCCTGCTGGCTGAGCACAACCCAGGGGTTCTTCCCCAACTCCCCACAGCAGCCCTTGAGAGCCGCCCAGGCCTAGAGCCACAATCTCAACCCAAGCCTGCCAAGTATCAGAGCCGGGGTCCGCCACAGCTACCTGGTGGTATGGGTGTCCTATGCCAGAGGCTCCAGCCAGGTTGCAGCGTGTGGGCACATGGGCGCAGGACAACCCCTGCTTCAGTCGAAACCTCAGCCTGGACAGCTCAGGCTCTGGCCACTGCAGGGAAGGACCACCAGATGCCCATCAGATTAAGCTATATGGGGGGATGGGTGAGAGGGGAGACAAGCTCAAACCTGGGGGCTGTGTCAGCAGCTGTGGGGGCTTTAGGTTCCCTCCTCTCACATGCCCGCTATTCCACCTCCCTCAAAAGTCAAGCCAGGCCAGCAACAGCTGCTCCCTGGACCTGCTTAGGCTCTACTGTGGTTGGGTGATCAAAGTGGCCAGATCATTTCAGGTATTTGTGGTTTGAACAGTAGACTGTCACCCACCACATCCTGCAGCGTCTATTTCTGGGGAGCAAGTCTTCTCCATTCCCAGCATCTAAACAGATGGCTTCTGTTTGTTATGGCCACTGTGGCTCCAGTGGGAATAATCTATTTCTTTCTTTGCTCTGGCTGCTAGGAATCTCAAAGTCAAAGACGTAGGCCAGCTCTGACACTACCCCAACGGTAGGACTTGTATTTATTTCAACAGCTAACTTTATCCCAGATGTTATAGTTCTTTTATCCTCTAGGGTTTTTTGTTTTTGTTTTTGTTTTTTGAGACAGATTCTCACTCTGTTGCCCATGCTGGAGTGCAGTGGCGCAATCTCGGCTCACTGCAACCTCCACCTCCTGAGTTCAAGCGATTCTCCTGCCTCAGCTTCCGCAGTAGCTGGGATTACAGGCACCTGCCACCACACCCAGCTAATTTTTGTATTTTTAGTAGAGCTGGGGTTTCACCATGTTGGTTGGCCAGGTTGGTCTCGAACTTCTGACATCAGGTGATCCGCCTGCCTTGGCCTCCCAAAGTGCTGGGATTTTAGGCATGAGCCACCACGCCGGGCCCTACCCTCTAGGTTTTAAGATTCAGCCCTGACCCTGCCACTTCCTATACAACCCTGGACAAAGGGTTCGGCTCTCCATGCCTTAGTTGTCATCTGTAATTCAGCTCATTTTTTCACAAGGTGAGCTAACACAAGCGAAAGGCATGACTCGCACAGCTGTTAACAGGCCGGTGAGTAAAGCCTGCTTGGCTCCCACTACACTACTGACAGCATGACAGTCCCCTCTGAGTAGCCTAGCCACTGGGTACACCCCCAGCTTCTCTCAGCCTTACAGAACTATTGCCCCATTTTGTCACATGCTCCCTTACCATCCTGCAATAAATTCCACGTAATATAACCAACATACTACCCTAACTAATTACAAGACAGGGACAACAAAGGACTGTCACTTAGCCGAAATAAAACGTGCTTCAGTGCAACTGTAGACAACACAACCAACTACTTGGCTGCTTCTGAGTTTGTTGTGAAAAGAAGGCTAAGAACATAAGGGAGCCAAAGGGCGGGGGAGCTAGGAAAGCCAGCCTGGTTCCAGATCCACCCAGGGTCCACATGGAAATGCAGTTCCAGGCTCCCTTCAAATGGCCCTGTGCTGTGATCAGTCCCCCTGCAAAGGTCTCTGAGCCACAGTCCCGTCATCTGAGAAGTGAAGATGAAACACCAGCCTCGTGGGGTCACGCAGCTCTCCCTGACTCCCGCCTACCTGAGGATCCCTCTTTATCCCACCTGGCTGTTCAGCCCGCCTGGAGGGAATGTGACGGGCTGGAGGCAACAGACCCTTCCTCTCTAGGCCTCACTTGCCCTCATGCTGTTACCTGGAAACTGTCTTGCTACCTACTGCCCCTTCTGTGTGCTGAGGGACAGGGGACCTGTCTTGGCACAAACATTTATAGGGCCAGGATGGTCCTTCTAGAGTCTTCCGAGGTACTGGGCCACACCCCACCCTGCCAGGTCCTCATAACCAGCTTGAGTGGGGTCTGTTACTGGCTTTGCCCTCAGGCATCCAGCAGAGACAGGCAAGTCGGGGCAGGGCAGGGCTGGACACACCAGTCAAAGGCCAGAGCTCTGGTGGCGTGACCACACCTACGTGGAGAGCAAGGCTGATGGCATGGCCTCCCCTGGTGAGAGAGCAGGAAGAGGCACAGGTGAGCCTGCCACAGCAGCCCCCAGAAGCCACCATGGGGCTTCAAGGCTGTGGGAATCAGCTTGAGCTTTTTCTAAGGTGGGGAAGCTCTTAACAGGAGCAGGCCTGCTGGCTGTCCCCCTCCTCCTGGGACGCTGGAGGGCAGGACACAGGGCAGCATCTGACACACCCCAGCAGCAAGGGCTTGGCCCAGACCAGCCTTGGGGAGAGACCGCCCACCCCCGGGAACCCCCAGGCCACACTAGCTCCCTGGTGGTCTTACCTTCCCCAGAGCCTTTGAGCCCACATTCATCGGTGTACAGCAGCAGTGGGACAGGCCTCAGTCGACCCTCCAGCACCAGCCACGCCTCTGCCACACCTATGCCCTCAAGGAGGCATCTGGCAGCCTGGGCCTAGCTCTGCAGGTGGTTAGAAGAGCCCTAGCTCTACCACTTACTTACCTTTGAAACCTTGGGCAGGACACTAACTGGAGGTTCAGTTTGCTTTCAGTAATAGGGGGCCCGTAAGCAGGTCCTGTTGACCTTCTTACTGGAGGAGGAGAGGGAGGGGGTCTGAAAAGGCGCAGAGCAAATTCCAGATCCTGTCCTGGATGGCTGATCCCTCACCCCAGCCCAGAACCTGAAGTGGATGCTGCCGGGATGGATGAATGAGCATTATTATGGAAAATACTTAATCCAAGCTTACTGTCTAGTATCAAAAAGTTAACCTACTTGGGAAGCTGAGGCAGGAGAATCACTTGAACCTGGGAGACAGAGGTTGCAGTGAGCTGAGATCACACCACTGTACTCTAGACTGGTCGACAGAGTGAGACCCTGTCTTAAAAAAAAAAAAATTCCTTGCCTTCTTCCAAAAATGATTTTAGTCAGGTTAGAGACACCCAGAAAGAGCTGGGAGACAGCTGCTACAACACAGACAAGAGTCCCTCTTGCCACAGATTTGTCTCAGCTTCCTGGCAGCCAATGCAAAGGATTCTCCGAGAGAGGACAGTCATTTGTGGAAAGAGAATGCTGCTGCTTAGCTCCATTAAAGACTCTGAGAAGTCCTGCAGCAGAGAAACCTATTAAACCCATGCATTACCCAGACTTTGACCTATTTCATAGACCTTATTACCATCCCAAGGTAATATGGGATTGAGGTGAGGAAGGTCCTCACCTCGCAAACTCTCCTTAAACGTGGTGCGTCTCAGCCATTCTCTGGGGTGGGCAGCATCAAGACTGAGCCTAGTTGCTAAAAGCCATCCAGTATCCTGCCCAGAAATCCCTCAGGGCTACAGAACCATGCAGCAACTCCACCACCCTGAGGTTTGGGACACTTAGTCCTGTGCTTGAGTCCCAACTCTGCCTTCTCTTCCATAGGTAAGTGACTCACCTCTCCTAGCCTCAGTTTCCAATTTTTTTTTTTTTTTTTTAAGAGATAGGGTCTTGCTCTGTGGCCCAGGCTGGCTCACTGCAGCCTCAAACTCCTGGGGGCTCAAGTGAGCCTCCTGCCTTGGCCTCCCAGGTAGCTGGGATTACAGACACATGCCACCACATGTGGCTGATTATTTTTTTGTAGAGATAGAGATAGGATCTCGCTATGTTGTCCAGGCTGGTCTCAAACTCCTGGCTCAAGTGATCCTTCTGCCTCGGCCTCCCAAAATGAGTCTCCACGTGTGTGTATGTGTGTATTTTGTTTTTGAGGCAGGGTCCCTCTCTGTTGCCCAGGATAGAGTATAAACTAGCTCACTGCAGCCTTGACCTCCTGGGCTCAAGCAAGAGTCTGCATTTTCTAAGGTGGGATAATAATGCCACTACCCTTCCCTGAGAATATGAGCATAGTGTGTGCAACAGAGCTCCCAGAGGGTATGGAAGGATCTCAGGGGAATGGTAAGGCAGGGAGGAGCACAGGGCCTTAGGAGCTCAGCCTTAAGAGAGACTTGGGAGCAAGAAGGCCCCTCCCTGGGCAGCCCTCCTGAGTTGTCACTCCCCTGCTCCCATGCACCAGAGGCTCAAGAAGGCCTCCCTCTTCCTTTTCCATCTTTCGGTCTTGGCCCAGCACAGAGAAAGGAGCAGTAGCGTTTGCTGAATATTCTCCGAAGTGGGGATGGTGGAGAAAAAGGCACTGGAGGTTAAGGGAATAGCAAGAGCCAACACCCAGAGGGCAGAAGGCACAGCCCCAGGCTAGAAGACAACAGGGGCTTGACTGTGGCTGGAAATGACGCTCACAGACCCCACACCACCCTTTAGTGAGCATCTGCTGTGTGCCAGGCATTGGAGCCTGGGTGGCCCACCAGCAGTTTCCAGATTGTGGAATTCACAGGCCGGCAACATTTTTCAAAAAGTTTTCCAAGAGGAAGTCACAGAAATGGGCGTCACACCATCAAGGACACGACGAAACCAAGTAGGACGTCATGGTTCCAGAGCAAAGGACAATCCTGGGCATCATGGACAGTGAGATTTATGAAGGAGAAGCCTCACCACCCTGCCCCGGGCCAGCTCCGTGCAAGGAGCAGTGTGTGTGAGCCTCACGTGGCCCTCCTGTGCCTTCACCTACTTCACAGATGAGAAGGCTCAAGAGACCTCCAAGGGGGAGGGAACACAGCACAGGGTGCTTCTATGACCTTCTGGCACAGGACATCTGGAAGGGAGTTTGGAATCTGCATTTTAACATGGGACCTGGGTGGATCTGAAACCCACCGGCGTCTGAGCTGGCTGGGGTCTGAGGGAGGTCAAGAGAGCTGGGCAGGGAGGCCTCTGTCCCCCATCTTCCCCCCAGATGCCAGGGAGCCACAGAAGATGTGCAGGAGGGGAGGCACGGCCCATCCCTCAAAGGCAGAAAGTGGTGGATGCTGGGAGCTGAGCAGCCAGGATTCCAGTCCCAGACAACTGCTGGGGGAAAGGGGTATTCACAAGGAGCCCCCAGTGAGGAGAGAGGAGCCAGGCTGGAAAACAGTGTGACACCTGGGCCCTCTGGGAGTTGGGCAGCATCAAAAACTGCCATCTGTCCCATCAGACTACGCCCAAGTCTGTCCAGAATTAGCTATTTCCACCCCCACGATGCTGCTCCAGCCTACCCTCCTCTGCTCAAAACTCCCCTGCAGCTACAGGAGGCTGAAGCAGGGAGGTTGAGGCTGCCGTGAACTATGATGGTGCCACTGCACTCCAGCCTCGACAACAGAGCAAAATCTCATCTCAAAAGAAACTCCCGGCTGGGCGCAGTGGCTCACGCCTGTAATCCCAGCACTTTGGGAGGCCGAGGCGGGCAGATCACAAGGTCAGGAGTTCAAGACCAGCCTGGCCAATATGGTGAAACCCTGTCTCTATTAAAAATACAAAAATTAGGCCAGGTGCGGTGGCTCACACCTGTAATCCCAGCACGTTGGGAGGCCGAGGCAAGGCAGATCACCTGAGGTCAGGAGTTAGAGACCAGCCTGACCAACATGGAGAAACTCTGTCTCTACTAAAAATACAAAATTAGCCAGGTGTGATGACACATGCCTATAATCCCAGCTGCTCGGGAGGCTGAGGCAGGAGAATCGCTTGAACCCAGGAGGCAGAGGTTGTGGTGAGCCAAGATCGTGCCACTGCACTCCAGCCTGGGCAACAAAAGCGAAACTCCATCTCACACAAAAAAATACAAAAATACAAAAATTAGTCGGGCATGGTGGCAGGTACCTGTAGTCCCAGCTACTTGGGAGGCTGACGCAGGAGAATCACTTGAACCCGGGAGGCAGAGGCTGCAGTAAGCCAAGATTGCGCCACTGCACTGCACTGCAGCCTGGGCAACAGAGCAAGACTGTCTCAAACAAACAAACAAACAAAAACAAAAACTCCCCTGTGGTCCTCATCTGAGAGACCCTTGTTACCTCCTCAGCCTCTTGGGCCTCCCTCCCTCGCTCTGATCCAGCCACACTGGCCTCCACTCTTCTTCAGTGTGCCAGGTGCACTCGGGGCCTGTGCCCTCAGAGAGGCAGCTCCCCCCACAGCTTCACAAATACGACTGCTTTTCAAAGTGTCATCTCCTCAGGGAGGCCCTCCCTGACCACAGTATCTAAATCCTGAGCCGCAAAGCCCCTTCACTTCCTTCCCTGCCTGTTGTCCTATGAGCTGGTCTTGCGCATTCCTTGATGCAGGTCTCTGCCGTGACTTGGCTTTGCTCACGTGGTGTCCTTGGCCGCGAGCCAGTGCCTGCTAGGTGGTGGGTGCTCAACATTCATCATAAGCCTTTTGCTGGCTAAGCATCCTTTGTGCTGGGTAACGGGGGGCATAGGGGATGATTGCCCCTACTGCCATCCCCCACCCCAGTGAAGACCATGAGTGATAGGGATGCTACAAGCCAGTGCTCTCAGGGCTGGGGTGGGCCTCCCAAGGCCCCTCCAGCTGGCCAGGGAAGAGGGCAGGCTGAAAGGCAGGCTCAGGTGTGTCAGCCCCCTGACCTCCCCGCAAGGGCACCATCAGGAGCCCCCATGCTACAGACTCTGGGAGGCAAAATCACACAGTGCCCCAGCCATGGGGAATAGCGAAGTTGAGCCAGGGCTCCAATCCTCATCTGCCCACCCCCAGCCCCAGCACCCCCAACACCTGGTCTCCCTCCAGCCGCCTTCCCGCCCACACCTTCCCCTGCCACCCAGCCCCTGCATTTGTGATGCCCTGCCTGACCCAAACTGCATGTCCCAGCAGAGAAAACCTCCTCTCCTCCAGGGAGCCTTCTCTGACCACTGAGTCATGATTAGTGCAATTCCTGTGCCTCTCCCTCAGCACTGAGCTTATCGAACCGGCCATGGTTTCCTGATGACGCAACTGCCTCCACCATCTGACTGGGAGAGTTCCTCTTGGGGTTGGGGTGGGCACCAAACCTTGCTGCCAGCTGAGGCCCAGCCCTGGGGCAGGCCCAGAGGAGGTACTTGGAGGGTTTGCCGGGTGGATGGATGGATGAGCACTTGGGTAGGTACCTGGGACCCCCAAGCTCTCAAGTGCCTGGGAAGCAGAGGGAGGTATGGGGTGTGATGGGTGATCTCAGCCCCCTTTTCCCAAGCTCCTTGGGGGGCAAACTGAAGGCAATGAGCCAGTTCCAGCGACTGAATCAGTGTGGGAACTACAGGCCACAGGGCGCTTCTCTGCTATGCCCCCCACCAGGACCCCAAGCCTGGCCCCTCCTTCACAGACCCTTCAAATGCAGGGCCCTGAGCAAATTACTTTGGCCTGCTGTGCTTCAGTTTCCTCACCTGTAAAATGGGGATGATAATGGAACCCACTCCTTGGACTTCTGCAAGTGAGCCTGCCTGCTGCCCTGAATGCCCAGTGGGCCCAGTCCACAGGGCAGCGGCTCCTAGACCCCCACCACCCTGTTCATTATGGGCCAGATCCCCCCTTGGTCTGCACCCTGCTGCCTCAGGTGCCCTTTCCCCACAGGGGAGGAGGAAAGAGAAGGGAGAAGCTTCCAGAAAAGCCACATGGCTGCCAGAAAAGCCCTTTCCTGGCAAGAGCCCCCCAATGCCAGAAACAGAAACCTCCCCAGCCAGAACATCCCCCTATTTCCCAGACATCTGAGGGCTTTGGGGGTCCCAGGCCCCTACCCAAGTGCTCATCCATCCGTCACCCAGTAAACCCTCCAAGCACCTCCTCTGGGCCCAACCCAGGGCTGGGCCCCTACTGGGAGCAAGGCTTGGTGCCCACCCCAACCCTGAGAGGAATTCTCCCAGTCAGATGGTAGAGGCAGAGACAGACATGGTGAGTGTGACACCCCCAAATACAGAATCCCTGTTCAGAGTCAGATCCCCCCTCCAGGCAGGTGGCACCCCAGCTCACACTGAGTGACTGAGTGTGGTGTGGGCAACAGGACACACACCAGCCTGCTTTTCCCGTGTATGTGTGTGGCGGGAGGGGGGCGGGGGAAGTGATTAGCCAGAGATGCTGGGACAGACAGGACTTGGGGACCTGTCTAAAACCCCACCCAGAGTGAATTCCCCTCAGTTCCCATCATGGTCCTCCTGCATGTCAGAGAATCACAGGGACACAGACACAAAGCCCCCTCTCAGAGAGACAGCAACCACCCCCAAGACAGAATCATGATGGCAAGGACACAGAGCCCCTTTCAGATGCTAGAGTGGCCTCCCTACAGCGACAGACACCCAGAGGAAGACCTTCACACAGGGAAAGACAGCCCCCACCACACCTGCTTCCAGACCAGCCCAGAGTCCCCAGCAGCAACATGGTCCCCTCCTCAGATATGGGTGCCGACTCCACCAGGTGGCCAAGGGTGGAGGGGCCAGTTACACATGGCCCCTGCAGCCTGCTGTGAGGATGGTGGGACGCTTCTACTCTCGAGTCGGCTATGGTGGGGCTATGCGCAAGGCCTGGGGACAGTGGCTTATGAGGGATGATGCCTGGAAAGCCCTACACTCCCTACCCCGCAGTGGGCACCTTCCCCAGCGCTCTCATCCCAAAACATGGACAGGAAGTCCAGGCCCCATCCAGCCCACCTGGCTAGGAGGAATGTCCTGGGATGGGCCTTGCAAGGAGCAGGATGGAAGGAGGGGAGCCACACCCCCAGGGCCTTTTCCCTCCACACCTTCACTCAAGCTGTGCCCTCCGCACAGGGCACCATTCTGGCCAAACCGCTGGGCTCTCAAGTGCCAAATAAGGACAAACAACTGTCAGGCACCGGGAGCTGCGCTGCAGTGACAGCCAGCGGACCAGCACATGGCACAGGGCATGCAGCAGCTTCCATCCACCTGCCCTGTCCCCAGCAGGCCTGAGCCACTTCTGAGGACAAGATGGCATCTCTGGGCGGCACTCAGCTCCATACACGGCAGGGCCACCAGACCCCACTCCAGGCCTGGTCCCAGCACACCTCCCCTGCTGCATGCCAGCTGCCGTCAGCCCACGCCTCGCACGACCACATCCTGCTCCCAGCTGTCCCCATAGGAATCCTTCCTGCCCCCACTGTGGCCAGCCTGGCTAAGCCCAGCACCCCTGCCCTTGGCCACACCTTTTTCAGGTGACGCCTTCTGCGCCTCGCCACCACAAGGCCATGGACGCCCCAAACCACGAGTGCCAGGCTGTGCTGGCCTCCAGACAGAAGGGAGAGCAAGCAGCTCCCTTGGCAGGGAGGGGGCAAGCCTGGCTCCCTGCAGTGGGTGGGGGTTGTTCACGCCTGTAACGAGCACTTTGGGAGGTCAAGATGGGCGGATCACTTGAGGTCAGGAGTTCGAGACCAGCCTGGCCAACATGGTGAAACCCTGCCTCTACTAAAAATTCAAAAATTAGCCAGGCGTGGTGGTGCATGTGTAGTCCCAGCTACTCAGGAGGCTGAGGCACGAGAATCACCTGAACCTGGGAGGCGGAGGTTGCAGTGAGCCGAGATCGTGCTACTGCACTCCAGCTTGGGCTACTTCAAGATGCCCTCTCAAAAACAAAAAAAACACCAGTGAGGACTGTAGCCAGGCCCCGCATCTGTGACGATCACCGAGGGTATCATGGGGCCCCAGGGCTGGGTCTACTGTAGCACACACCAGTGGGGCCAGGTCCCCAGGCTTGAATGGGGCACCGACGGCCCATCCCCCTGCCACAAAGCCAGGACCAGCTCGGGGAAGCCCCGGCCAAGCATCTGCTCTGCACCGGGTGTGGGTGGAAAAAGATGTGGTTAAGAAACAACAAAAAACCTCTGTCGCCCGTCTCGGGTGGGGAGAGTGCACCAGAGGAGAGGGGACTCATCACCACCAAGATCCCCAAAGCCCCAGACAACGGTAGCTACTGCCTGCCTTCGAAGAACGATGATTCAGAAGAAGAGGTGAGAGCAAGGGCTTCTGGGGTGGAGGGGCTCCCAGCCAACTGGCACAGCCAGGCCAGGTCCTCCTCCAGCCACGGCACAGCACCGGGAATCCCATGTCCTTCTGAGCTCCACCCGGCACGGACTCTCATTACTATCATTTTAGCTCCTGTTTACTGAACGTTTACCATGTCACAGGCCTTGACACACAGCCTCTCACTGACATCACAAAACAACAGGAAATCACACCAGCCACCCATAACAAAAGCCAGCTGGATTAAATAATTAAAAGTGAAAAAGGAAACCAAGACAGAACTAGAATAAAACCTAAATAATTATTTATCTGATCCTGGGTGGGGAAAGGCCTTTCTAAGGTAAAAAAGCAAAGAATAAAACCATAAAGGCGAAGATCACTGGATTTTACTGCCTGGAACTTGCAAACCCCCATAGGTCAAGAAATGCAGGAACAAAATTGAAAAGTCAAATCGGAAACCAGGGAAATATTTGCAACATGGGACAGAGCTAATATCCGTGCCGTGTAGTGTTCACAAATCAAGAAAAAGGCAAGCAGTGCAGGAGACAAACATGCTGAGTAAATAGCCTGATAAATCACAAGAAATGTGTATGACCAAGGAACAGAAGAGAAACAGTCGAAATCCACGGGGACAGAAAGATCAGTGGTTGCCACGGGCTGGAGGCAGGGAGTTTGGGGACTGACTGCTCCAAGGTTTTTTTCTAGGGTGATAGAAATGTTCTGGATTAGATAGTGGTGATCATTGCACAATTGTTTAAATATACTAAAAGCCAATGCATTGTACAATTTAAACAAGTGAATTTTATGGTATATGAATCATATCTCAACTTTTAACAAAGAGAAATGGTCACACTTAGGATAAGATAACCACTTTTCATCCAGAAGGTGGCAAAGGTTTTTAAAATAATACCCAGTGCTGGCACCACTGGTGACAAGAAGATATATGCGTATGACCTTTCTGGAAGGCTACTCAAAAATAATGTATCAAAAGAATAAGAAATGGCTATTAGGCAGATGAAAAGATGCTCAACACCATTTTCCATTGGGGAAATGCATATCAAAACCACACTGAGGCTAAACCCGGTAGCTCACACCTGTAATCCCAGCATTTTGGGAGGCTGAGGTGAGAGGACTGCTTGAATCCAGGTGTTCGAGACCAGCCTGGGAAATATGGTGAAACCCCAGCTCTTCAAAAAACAAAAACAAAACAAAACAAAACAAAAAACCACATCACGTAGTGTAGTGAAAAACAAAAATTAGCTGAGTGTGGTGGTGTGTGCCTGTAATCCTAGCTACTCAAGAGGCTGAGGTGGGAGGATCACTTGAGCCCAGGAGTTTGAGGCTGCAGTGAGCTGCCTCTGCACTCCACTGCACTGCACTCCAGGCTGGGTGACAGAACAAGACCCCGTTTAAAACAAACAAACAAAAAAAACACCACACTGAGAAACTACTTCACACCCTTTAAGATGGCTGGGATGGCTACAATCAAGAAGACAGACAATAACAAATATTGGCAAGGACATGGAGAAACTGGAGTCCTCTCACGCAATGATGGTGGGAATATAAAATGGTACAGTTGCTTCAGAAAACAGGTTGGCAGTCATATTTATTTTATATATAGTCATTTTTTTTTCTGAGTCAGAGTCTCTCTCTGTTTCCCAGGCTGGAGTGCAATGGCATGATCTTGGCTCGCTGCAGCCTCCACCTCCTGGGTTCAAGTGATTCTTCTGCCTCAGCCTCCTGAGTAACTGGGATTAAAGGTATCCACCACCACGCCCAGCTAATTTTTGATTTTTAGTAGAGACAGGGTTTCACCATGTTGGCCAGGCTGGTCTCAAACTCCTGACATCAAGTGATCCACCTGCCTTAGCCCCCCAAAGTGCTGGGATTACTGGCGTTAGCCACCGTGCCCAGCCCAATGTAATTAAACATAGAATTACTGTATGCCCCAGCAATTCCACTCCTAGATGTATCCCAAGAGAAATGAAAACACAGATCCACACAAAAACTTGTCCACGAATGTTCATAGCAGCATTATTCATAACAGCCAGAAAGTGGAGATAACCTGATGTCTATTAAGTGATAAACAAATAAGCAAAATGTGGCAAGTCCATACAATGGAGTATTTTTCAGCCATAAAAAGGAACAAAATACATGCTGTAACTTCGGTGAACCTGGAAAACATGATGCTAAGTGAAGGAAGCCAGACACAAAAGGCTGCATAGTCTGATTCCACATATGTGAAATGTCCAGAATAGGTAAATCCCTGGAGACAGAAAAGAGATGAGTGGTTGCCAGGGGCTGGGGAGGGAGGTATGGGGAGTGACTGTTCATGGGTACAAGGTTTCCTTTTTTGATGACGAAAATGTTCTAAAATTAGATTATGGTGAGGGTTGCACAACTCTGTAAATATACTAAAAACCAATGAATTATACGCTTTACACAAGCGAATTTTATGGTTTGTAAATTATATCTCAATAAAGCTTTGAGAGCAAGAACGGATCAGAAGTGCTCATAAAAGCCTTGACCCAGCACTCCCCTTCTAGGAACTGAGCAGAAGAAAATCATCAGAAGTGGGCACCAAGACTGACATAAGGTGTTCATCCCAGGGTCATCTATACCAGCAAAAAAGTTAAAAATGGGCTGGGCGCGGTGGCTGTAATCCCAGCACTTTGGGAGGCTGAGGCAGGCAGCTCACCTGAGGTCAGGAGTTCGAGACCAGCCTGGCCAACATGGTGAAACCCCGTCTCTACTAAAAATACAAAAATTAGCCGGGCGTGGTGGCACATGCCTGTAATCCTGGCTACTCGGGAGCCTGAGGCACGAGAATCGCTTGAACCTAGGAGGTGGAAAAAAAAAAAAAAAAGAATACAGAAAAATGTTCAGGACACAAAGTGAAAAAAGCAGGTGACCAAATAGTATGAGGAATGCCAGGCCCGCAAAGGCTGAAGCTTTTGTCCACAAGCTCCTGCCTGCAAGGGGCTCCAGACAGAATTGTGCAAAAAGTAATCCCTTCCCAGCAATTGCTGAAGGAATTGGAATTTGGAGGCGGAGGCAAAGTTAAAGACAGAGAAGAGGCTGGGTGTGGTGGTGGCTCACGCCTGTAAATCCCAGAACTTTGGGAGACCTAGGCGGGAGGACTGTTGAGCCTAGGAGTTTAAGACCAGCCTAGGCAACATAGTGAGAGTTTGTCTCTACAAAAAAACTTAAAAATTAGCAGGGCATGGTGTCCTGCTAATGTCTATGCTAATAGCAGCATTAAATAGTCCCAGCTACTTGGGAGGCTAAGGTGGGAAGATCACCTTGAGCCCAGGAGGTTGAGGATGCAATGAGCCGAGATGGCGCCACTGCTCTCTAGTCTGGGGGACAGAGCAGTGTCCCCCAGTCTCAAAAACAAAACAAAAATGACAATAATGACATCTACCAAAATGGAAATGCTGGTTCTCTCTGGGTAGTGAGATTGTGGGAGGTTTTTCTGTTACTGTTTTTTTTTTTCTTTAAATAGTTTCTGCCATGAGCTTTATTAATTGAAAAAGCAAAATAAAAAACATTAGGAACTCAGACATGGAGGCCCTCGGCAAGTTAAAGACAGTTTCCTAGATTACATGGGGTACCCAGATGAAGACAGGGCAGGGCCCCCTTCCAGGTGGTTCCCTAGAGAGAGGTTTCTCTCTCCTCCTACAGTGGTGCCCCTGTGTGTAGAGCTGAGGTTGGGGTTCGAGTCAGGCATGGGGTGGGGGGTCCCAGGCAGCAGCCACAGCGAGGGAGGTCCAGAGGCCAGGTGGCCCTTAATCGCCCCGATGTACACTGTCACCCAGTGGTTCCAGAGGCCAAACAGTGGGCGGGGGCCACAGCCTCCTCCTCAACTCAGAGGGGAGATAGGAAAAAGGGGGTATGGGGCCCCAGAAAGGAAGCTGAGGTGGCCCCTCCTGCACTGGGAGAGGAAGCCCCCCCCGCCACCCACCCCCGGCCGGCACTCGGAGACCTCTTCTAGCGCAATCAGTTTCCTTTTCCATTCACAAAGAACTGGGTGGGGGATTTCCAGCAGCGCCAATGGGGCCAGCCAGGGGTTGCTGTGGGGAGCAGCCAGGCTGCTGCCCATCCCGGGGAGGGACCCTGGGGACCCACCTGTGGGATCTGGTGGCCTCCTTCCCCTTTTTCTGCCCTTCAGGGTAGGAACACATCATGCCAGCTACTCCCTGAGCCTGCAGTTGGCTCAAAACAACCCACTAAGGCAAGTGCTGGCATCCCATTTTCTGTAATGAGCCACTGAGGCGCAGAGAGGCCAAGTTCTTGGCCCAGAGCCACACAGCAAGGATACAAGAGCCAAGATCTGAACCTGACCCTGTCCATCTGCCCTTCTCCAGCGTCCACCCTTCGCCCCTGGACCCTGACCCTGAACCTCCAAGCCCACAGCCCTGACCCCACAATGGTCTCATCTCAATACCAGCCTCGAAAACAAACAAAACAAAAAAATACCACACCAACTTCCAAGAAGCCAGTAAGAGCAGCCAGGCCTGGTAAGCAGGACGGGGTGGGGATGGACCATAATAACTTAATTACCTCCCCCCTTGTTGGATTCAGGGCACTTTCTAGGCTGTGGATTCGCAGAATTTGAGCTGAAAGGAAGCGCCCCGATACCATCTGCCCCCGTGGTTTCAGCGCGGTCGGGGGTTTCTTCTAAGCGGCAAAGCACTTTTTCAAAAACGATTTTGCATGGAACCCCAATAAGGGGGCAGATGGGGCGGCAGTGTGTGTGGCTGGGGCCGCAGGAGCCCTGCCCAACCCCCTCCGCCTTCCCCATCACTCCCAGAAGGCCACTGCAGGCACCCACTTCATAGCTCAGAGAGGACTGGGACCTACCTGGGTCACATGGCAGCCCAGGACAGAGTGAGGATGGGACCTCCGTTCCTACCCCAGGAGCCTCTGCCGCTGGTCCCCCAGGAGACGTGGGCCCAGGAAAAAACCGGCTTCTTAAGCCTGTGTGCCCGCCAGGACCTGAGCTCTGCCTGCCTGCCAAGACCAGGGCTCAGTCTGCCCTGCTTGCCGGGATACAGGCTCGTTCTGACGGTGGAGGGTGGGTGCTTTCTCTCTGCCTGTTCTGGGGCCTAAACACAAACCCCCTGCCCCTGGTGCCCCCCGGCCTTGGCAGACCCACCAGGGACTCTCATTTCCTGCCTTGGCCACCTACCAGCTCTGGGGCCTCGGGCAAGTTTCTGGACCTCTCTGTGCCTAGTTTTCTTGGCTGTGAAATGGCTTCATCACTGTCCCCACCTCCGGGGTTTGTGATAAGGATTCCATGGGATGTGGCGGACACAGTGCCTGTCACATGAAAACCAATTAATAAAAATGGGCCGGGCGCGGTAGCTCACGCCTGTAATCCTAGCACTTTGGGAGGCCGAGGCAGATGGACAGCCTGAGGTCAGGAGTTCGAGACCAGCCTGGCCAACATGGCGAAACCGCGTCTCTACTAATAATACAGAAAAATTAGCGGAGTGTGGTGGTGGGCGCCTGTAATCCCAGCTACTCGGGAGGCTGAGGCAGGAGAATTGCTTGAACCCTGGAGGCGGTGGTTGCAGTGAGCCAAAATCACACCACTCTGCTCTAACCTGGGCGACAGAGCGAGACTCTGTCTCTAAATAAATAAATAATAAATAAAAATGACAACGCCAGTGATGCCTGCAGCAGCAAAGCCTTGCAGGCCCCAGCGAACACTGGCTGTGTTGGGCACAGCTCTAGGTGCTTCCCAGACAGCACTCAGTTGATCCTGGGGCCAGAGCCATCATTCAGCTATTTTTACTTGAGTAAACTGAGGCACAGGGAGGGCAAAGTGCCTTCCCCCGGGTCACAGGCTCAGAAGGGCAGGGGCAGGCCAGGGCCGCGCCTGTCAGAGCCCGAGGCGGCTTCCTGCCGTCCCTCCTCCTCCTCCTCCTCCTCTTCCTCCTCCTCCTCCTCCTCCTCCTCCTCCTCGCACTCCTGCCCCGAGAGGAAACCGCCAGGCCTCCGGCGGACGTCCCTTTCTTTCTGCTTCCCCTTTCCCACACCCGGAGGCATGGGGGTGGCTCCTGCATCCCCGCCCAGGCTCTGGGCCCAGAGCCCGACTCCTGTGGCCTCCCCGGGTCTCAGTTTCCTCCTCTGTAAAGGAGGTGTGAGGGCGGTGCCACCTGGAAGAATCACGGCAAGGACGGACGGGCACGGCCCTCCTGTGCCCAGGCAGGGTCACAGCCCACCCAGAGGGAGCTGCCCACCTGTGCCTCTGCCTCCCCTGCAGACCCAGGCACACCCAGGAACTGAGGCCCCCAAGGGATGGGTCACTCATCAGACACCCGGGCTCCTGTGCTATCTCTTGGGGGGACTTTGTGCTCCCAAAATCAAGGTCAGAGTGGCCTTGTTCCAGGGCTTCTGGGTGCCCCAAATGTCTCCTGCCAGAAGGGTGGGCCCGAGGCTGCCCCTCACCTGCCCTATCAGTGCTTACCGTAGCCTGCCCCCCATGACACTTCCCATTTTACAGAAAACTGAGGCCCAGCAAGGCCAAGTCACACACCAGGGACACCTGGCTCGAAAGGGGATGAGTGGGGATGGCTCTGAAGCACATTTACCCCCGAGTCGCAGCCACTCCTACCCAGACCACTGCCTCCTGGGCACTCAGGCCTGTGATGCAGCGGGGGGCTCAGGGCTGAGGGCTAAGTCCCCCTGAGGCATCCCCCAGCCCCTCTTCTACCACTTCTCCAAGCTGGGCATCAGAGGCCATGGGTGGGATGTGCCAGGCAGAGTCCTCTGTGCCAGGTGAGGGGCGCTGGCCAGCCCCCTCCAGGCCTCGGTGTTGGCATCTATAAAATGGTGGCATTGGATAAAATGGCCACAGGAGCTTTTCCTAGTCCAAGAGCCCAAAACAGGTGCCCCCACCCATGCAGGGCCCTAGTTAACAGTGCCATCAATAATACTGACAGTAAGTCCTTCTAAGGACTCACTGCTCACAGGGGCAGCCAACTGCCCAGGTTCCAAGCCCCTCTCAGCCACAGGGGCTGTGAGACCTTGGGAAAGCCACCTAAGCTCTCTCAGACCTAGTCTCCCCATCTGTGAAATGGGCCTAATGGCGCAGCTACCCTCACAGGGCTGCTGTGAAGATAAAATGAAGCCAGGTCAGTAAAGTGCCTGCTGTATAAGGAAAGCCCAATAAATGGTGGTTTAAAGGGCATTTATCAACAGCTAGAACTCCATCATGTCCTCCACTGTACAGATGAGGGAAACTGAGGCTCAACCTCCAGAACCACCAGGGCTGGCAGGACTTCAAGACCATCTCAGCTAATCCATGCCTGGGCATATGTGGAAACTGAGGCCCGGCAGGCTGGGCATGCTCCATTTGAAATGGGAGCCCCACCTCCCCGGGAAGGTCTGGGGCCCAAGGCCAGCTACTCCAGCCTAGCAGCTGCTTCTGGAATCTTTCTCCTTCCCCAGGGCCCCCACTGCTGTCGCCTCCCCGTCAGGCTCTACTGCTGAACCAGTGGCAGCACAGGCCAGGCTGGGACCCCCTCCAATGCCGGCCTGGCACCGCCAGATCCTCTGATTTTTTTTTTTTTTTTTTTTTTTTTTTTTTCCTGAGATGGAGTCTTGCTCTGTCGCCCAGGCTGGAGTGCAACGGTGCAATCTCAGCTCACTGCAACCTCCACCTCCTGGGCTCAAGTGATTCTCCTGCCTCAGCCTCCCGAGTAGCTGGGATTATAGGCACACGTCACTGTGGCCAGCTAATTTTTGTATTTTTAGTAGAGACTGGGTTTCACTATGTTGGCCAGGCTGCTCTTGAACTCCTGACTTCAAGTGATCCATCTGCCTTCGCCTCCCAAAGTCCTGGGATTACAGGTATGAGCCACCGTGCCCGGCCGATCCCCGGATTCCATAAGAGAAACCAGAAGTCTGGATTCTGTGAAATCTCTCCACTTTAGGTTGTAAATGTGGCAACCAGTGCAATTTCCTTTTCTTGTAACTGCCAGGTGAGACGCACACCTCAGGCCCAGCCCAGCCTGGAGCTGGGTTATACACTCTCTGGTTTGAACCAGTTCAGCAGGGGGCCAAGGGCTTGGGGTTAGGGGCCCCTTGGGATCAAGAGTTCCTGTCTCAGGGTTCAGATCCCCTTCACTTCATGATCCCAGGCAAGTCTCTTTGCTTCTCCCAGTGCCTCAGTTTCCTCATCTGTCAAATGGGTCAGTGAACTCCAGCTCATGGGAAGGTCCAAGAATTTAGGGCAACACCTGGCACACAGAGGCACACATTCAGGGCCATGAATGTTGGGGCTCAGAAAACAACACCCCAAAGAAAGGTGCTGTGGCATGCTACGTACTTGAACTAAAGAAGACTAGAAGGGCTCAGAAGGGGCCCTCAGAAGCAAAGTCTCTCTCACCTCCTTCTGCCTTCCTGTCTCTCTCACCCTCCTTCTCCCCTGAAGTGAGTCATAGAAACTAGGCGGCTGGGCACAGTGGCTCACGCCTGTAATCCCAACACTGGGAGGCCGAGGCAGCAGGATCACTTAGGGCCAGGAGTTTGAGGCCAGCCTGGGCAACATAGCAAATCCCCATCTCTCTTAACAAAAAAAAAAAAAAAAAGATAAAAGAAAAACGGAACCAGAATTCTTCCTCAAGGTGGGTCATAGAATCTAGAACCCCTCTCCCTGAAAGCCAGCCATAAAACCTAGAAATATAACTCTAACCTTCCCCTACCTTCCTGGGTAGGAGCCATCCACAGAGAAATTCTCCAACCTACCTTGTCTGAGGGAGGCAGGTTGTAAGTTCCAGAGAGGTCCTGCCCTACACTGGGAGGAAGGAACACCATGCAGAGGCCAAGAGGAATGGGAGCAAGCAGGCCTTGCTGGGACCCCGCCTCCGTCTAGCTCAGTAGATCACACCCTTTCATCCCAATCCCATTTTTACGCAGCTATCCCTGCTCCATCAAACCTAAACACCAGACAGACCATTTCCTGGGGTCTTTCGGTCTTCATTCCTGAAAGCTACATGTCACATAAAACTTTGATTCAATAACTTTGTGATGCTTTTCTCTTGCTGACCTGTCTTGTTGCAAGAGTGTCGGTCGTGAGCCCGATGATGGGTGATGAAAGGCATGTCACCTTTCCCCCACATAAACACACTGCTCCCCTGTCCTTGCCCTGCCTGGGGCTCAGCGGTGCCCAGGGGAAGGAGGTCTCTAGAGGAAATCATGTCATACTCTCCCATCGCGGGCCTGAGCTGGGAGACCACAGGTAGCCTGGAGGGTCCCTTGCACCCACTCCCACCCGCAGGTGGCCCCAGCAAGTGTCTCAGGCCCTCTAGGCCTAAATCCTCCAATTGTTCCCACTGCTCTTAATGTAAAACCTAAAGTCCCCACTGTGGCCCACAAGGGCCTCTGCAATCCAGCTCCACTACCTTTGTAGTCTCACCTTTCCCTGTTCCCTCGAACCCCAGGCTGCCTGGCTATTCCACAGACTTGCCTGGTTCACGCTCACTGCAGGGCTTGTGAACCTGCCATTCCTCAGCCTGGGACTCCTTCACCCAGATCTATCAGGACCGGCACCTCCTGCCAAGAGGCCTTTGCTGACCAACCCCAGGGAAGGCAGCCCCCTCCCACCTCCCAAGGGCCCACGCTGCCCACCTGCAGTGGCCACTGAGACCAGAGAAAGCTGGGACTTTTCTCCCCTTCTCCTGACCTTGGAAAACACAGACATCTCCTCCACCCACACCCCCACCCCTGGCAGACTGTGGCCTCCCCTTGCACACCCCCAGTCACAGAGTGCTCTCTCCCAGCGCAGCCCTCATAGTGCCCCTGGAGGTGCTACACCATCACCCTGCTCCACAGGCCCGCGGTCACACAGCAGGTCGGGGGCAGAGCTGGGGCCCAACTGCAGGTGAGGCTCACCTGTGGGCTGAGCCCACCTGGCCTCAGACTTCTGGGCAGCTGCCTTCTCTTGGCTCTCTCCCTCCAAAGCCTCTTCCAGCCCTGGGCAGCAGGGCCTCCACCAGGCTGGCACTGGGATTACATCTGCTCCCTCTCCTGCAGGGCACCCTTTAAGTGACAGACCGCAAGTGCAGATCCAAAGCTTAAGCCCTTCGCCACCACCCACTGGTTGTCAGAACTTTCTTTTCCTTTTGTTTAAAACTGTTCCCAGAGCCAACCCCTGGGTCAGAGGTCAGGGATCACAGTTGACTACCTGGCAAGCACATGCAAGAGTTGTGGTCTGAGCACCCTTGGCCCATCACCTGGACACAGATTCACTGAGGGGATGCTCCTGAGCCGCCCGGACTGTTCCACCTGATGCTCCGAGGGGCTAGGAGAAGCCTCCCCAGGGCTGCTTGCTTTGCAGGCAACACCCCAGGCCCCGCAGCAACCACCAAGCCTGTGACAGAGCCCCAGCCAGCCAGGGCTACGGCAAAGCCCTCTGGGACCTCCCTGGTTCCCTGGATTGGGAAAAGCCCTAGGGAATCTGATGGGGCCCTACCATCAGGGCTCCCAGAGAACAGGAGTCTTGGGGATGCCTTCCCCTGAGGGCCCAGCAAGCACTGGAAATAAACCTGGGCTCTCCGCCCGAAGTCAAAACCATAACAAACCACAACAACCGTGGCAACAGCAACACAGCACTCATGGAGTGCTCCCAGCGCCAGGCACGTGGCACATGCGCTCTCCCCACCAAGACACACAGCCCTATGGGGTAGGAACTATGAGTACTCCCCAATGTACAGAGGGGGAAACTGAGTCTCAGAAAGGTGATACCACTTGCCCCAGAGCTGAGAAAGCAGCTTATTCATTATTCAAACCCAGGGCCAGCTGGCTCCCAACACCTGGTCTTCCAAGATTATTTTTATTTTTTATATATTCACTTATTTTTTTTGAGATGGAGTTTCGCTCTTGTCACCCAGGCTAGAGTGCAGTAGCACGATCTCAGCTCACTGCAACCTCCGCCTCCTGGGTTCAAGTGATTCTCCTGCCTCAGCCTCCGTAGTAGCTGGGATTACAGGCATGTGCCACCACACCAGGCTGATTTTGTATTTTCAGTAGAGACGGGGTTTCACCATGTTGGTCAGGCTGGTCTCGAGCTCCTGACCTCAGGTGATCCACCTGCCTCAGCCTCCCAAAGTGCTGGGATTATAGGCATGAGCCACACGCTTGGCCACCAAGATATTTTTTAGTAGAGATGGGGTTTCACCATGTTGGCCAGGCTGGTCTCGAACTCCCAATCTCAGGTAATCTGCCTTGGTCTCCCTAAGTGCTGGGATTACTGGCATGAGCCACTGCGCCCAGCCACTGAGGTTGTTTTTCAAAGTTAAGAACCCTGGACGGGCGCAGTGGCTCACGCCTGTAATCCCGGCACTTTGGGAGGCTGAGGCGGGCAGATAACGAGGTCAGGAGATCGAAACCATCCGGGCTAACACGGTGAAACCCCATCTCTACTAAAAATACAAAAAAATTAGCCAGGTGTGGTGGCGGGCACCTGTAGTCCCAGCTACCCGGGAGGCTGAGGCAGGAGAATGGCATGAACCCGGGAGGCGGAGCTGGCAGTGAGCTGACACCGTGCCACTGCACTCCAGCCTGGGCAACAGAGCAAGACTCTGTCTCAAAAAAATAAAAAATAAAAAAATAAAAACCCTACAGTGTCACACAGATAAGATCATGTATTGGGGCCGTTATTTGTCTTTCATGGTGTCACAGCCTTGAGATTTTTAACAAATGATGAGAAAACCGTTTTTTATCTGTGCTTGCGTTTTCCCAACAGCTTCTGATTGTGCTTGGAATAAAACACTAAGTCCTCCCGTTCCCAGTGTCCTCCACCCACATGTACTTCCCCGCTCCCCATCTCCCTCTCTCTGCTCCCACCACACCGGCCTCTTCATCTTGTCCTTTCTTCAAAACATGCTAAACACATTCCCCACTCAGGGTCTCTGCCCATGCTGTTCCCTCTGCCTGGAAGGCCCAGTGATTTACTTAGAATGAAAGTAAGTGACCTCCTGGCCAGGCGTGGTGGCTCGCACCTGTAATCCCAGCACTTTGGGAGGCCGAGGCGGACAGATCACCTGAGGTCAGGAGTTCAAGACCAGCCTGGCCAACATGGTGAAACCCCATCTCTACTAAAAATACAAAAATTGAGGCCAGGTGAGGTAGCTCACGCCTGTAATCCCAGTACTTTGGGAGGCTGAGGCAGGTGGATCACGAGGTCAGGAGTTCAAGACCAGCCTGGCCAACATGGCGAAAACCCATCTCTACTAAAAATACAAAAAATTAGCCAGGCGTGGTAGCATGCGCCTGTAATCCCAGCTACTCGGGAGGCTGAGGCAGGAGAATCACTTGAACCCAGGAGGCAGAGGTTGCAGTGAGCCGAGATTGCGCCACTGCACTCCAGCCTGGGCAACAGAGTGAGACTCCATCTCAAGAAAAAAAAAAAACAAAACTGCTTTTCATGAAAAGCCAGGCCATAAAGGTAGGAAATGACTTTTAAAACGCAAAGAAATTGTCCAAAATATATAACGACTTTTACAAATCAATTTAAAAAAGGCTAGACAGACAATAAAAACATGTACTTCACAAACGACCAAATTCCGATGACCAATCAACATATGAAAAGGTGCTTAACCTCCATGAGTCATCAGGGAAACGCAAAGTAAAGCCACCTTGAGATCCAGGAACGCAGCCACCGGTGACTCTTAACACCAAGTGCCTGGCTAACATGGTGAAACCCCATTTCTACTAAAAATACAAAAATCAGCTGGGTGTGGTGGCACGCGCCTATAATCCCAGCTATTTGGGAGGCTAAGGCAGGAGAATCAGCTTGAACCCAGGAGACGGAGGTTGCAGTGAGCCGAGATTGTGCCTCTGCACTCCAGCCTGGGCAACAGAGCGAGACTCCGTCTCAAAACAAAAACAAAACAAAACACAAAAAAACCCACCAAGTGCTCAAGTGTTGGTGGGGAAGTGGAACCACCCGGAACTCTCGCCCACTGCCGGTGGGACACAAAATGGTGCAGCTGCTTTGGGAAAAGTCTGGCAATTTCTCTAAAGTAAACATGTACCTACTCTATGACTGAGCAATGCCACTTCTAGGAATCCACCTGAGAGAAATGAAAGGATGTGTGTCCATATTTAGACTTAGATGCAAACTTCATAACAGCCTTATTCATAAATCAAAATAGAAACAACCCAAATATTCATCAACAGAGGATGGGATAAACCAGTTGTGGGACATGGAGACAGCTGTGCAATGGAATCTATTCAGTACTCAAAAGAAACAAACCCGGCTGGGCGTGGTGGCTCATGCCAGTAATCATAGCACTTTGGGAGGCCGAAGTGGGGGGACCATTTGAGCCCAGGAGTTCGAGACCAGCCTTGACAACATGGTGAAATCCCATCTCCACAAAAAATACAAAAATTAGCCAGGTGTGGTGGCACGTGCCTGTGGTCCCAGTTACTCGGGAGGCTGAGGTGGGAGGACTGCTTGAGCCCAGGAGGACAAGAGGCAGAGGATGCAGTAAGCTGAGATCGAGCCACTGCACTCCAGCTGGGTGACAGAGCGAGACCTTGTCTCAAAAAAAAAAAAAAAAAAAAAAAAAAGGAAGACACTATTGACATGTACGATCAATGTGATCAATCTCTAAAACATTATGCTGGGCAAAAGGAGCCAGAAATAAAAGGCAACCTATTTATTAGCTGGGAGTGGTGGCACGTGACGGTGATCCCAGCTACTGGGGAGGCTGAGGCACAAAAATAACCTGAGGCTGGGAGGTTGAGGCTACAGCGAGCCATGATCACACCACTGCACTCCAGCCTAGGTGACACAGTGAGACCCTGTCTCAAAATAAAATAATAAAATAAAACAAAGGCAACCTACTGTGTGATTCCATTCACATGATGTTCAAGAACAGAGAAATCGAACCTGTGGTGATAAGAGGTGGTATGTATGGGGGTACAGGGCACTGGCCTGGGGGAGGCATGAAGGAGCCCTCTGGGGTGCTGGTCACTTGCGTTGCACACACACGGAAACACAGAGCTTCAGATGTGTCTCATACTTCACGCACTTCCAGGTCTGCATGTTACGCCACAGTCAGTTTGAAAACGTTACTTCAAAGGATTCTTGGATGACTCTCCCAAACCGCCAAACCGGGACCCCTCAGTTATCCTCCCAGAGACCCCATTGCTTTTCCTTTAGAACACAGTTTACCAGTTTTAGAACACAATTTACCATTTTTAATTCCATGCTCATCTGTGGGTTTATTTCCTCAACAGCCTCCACTAGGCCCGCCTGGTCCCCCAGAACCTAGCATGTGCCTAACACATAGTAGGTGCTCCATAAATATCTGTCGAATGAATGAAAGAGTAACCATAGGTTTCCTCCACCCACATCGTGAGCCCCTCAGGGCCAGTATCACATCGGTTTTGCTCATGCTCTAGAGTAAGGCCCTACCACGTAACAGGATCCCAAAGAGAGAGCAATTAGATGAAAGCCATATGGTCCTGTCATGCATACCTGAGTCAAAGATGGAGCCTGGCAGGTGAGTAGAACACAGTGACCTTTCAGCCTCAACAGCACAGTAGGAATTAAGCCAGCTGTGAAGGAAAAGAACTTTTTTTTTTTTTTTTTTTTTTTTGAGACAGGGTCTCGCTCTGTCACCCAGGCTGTAGTGCTGTGGTGCGATCTTGGCTTACTGCAGCCTTGGTCTTCTGGGCTCAAGCGATCTTCCCACCATAGCCTCCAGAGTAGCTGGGACCACAGGCGTACACCACCACGCCCAGCTAATTTTGGTATTTTTTGTAGCAATGGGGTTTTGCCAAAGGACAAATTCTTTTTAACTTGCAAAATATCACCAAGGCACAGGAGGTGCAGAGAAATTCTCTGAAGGTTTTGAGCCCTCTGGAAATAAAACACCAATCTGTCAATGCCAGTCTGAGTCAGAGTTTTCAAGGATCTCAGAGTGACCTGCTACCAGCCCACATGACACCCAAATGTGAAGGCAAAAAGGTGTCCCTGGACATTGTACAAAATCCTTGACTGGTACTCCTCAAAACTGCCAAGGCTATCAGCAATAGAGGGTTGGAAACTGTTACAGCCAAGAGGCGCCTAAGGAGACGTAACGACTAAACCTCATGTGGTATCCTGGGGGGCGAGCTGGAACAGAAAAGGGACATTAGAGGAAAACTGGCAAAGCCAAAGGAACAGTGGCGTTTAGCTAATAGTGATGTACCCGTGCTGGTTCCTTAGCTACAACCAATGTACACAGCAGCGTAAGATGTGAACCTTCGGTGAAGCTGGGTACCATGTGTAAAGGAACACTACTATCTTTGCAACTTTCCTGTAAGTCTAAACATTTTTTTTTTTTTTGAGACAGAGTCTCACTCTGTCACCAAGGCTGGAATACAGTGGTGCAATCTTAGTTCACTGTAACTTTCCCTCCCAGGTTCAAGTGATTCTCCTGACTCAGCCTCCCAAGTAGCCGGGATTACAGGCGTGCGCCACTGTGCTCAGCTAATTTTTTATATTTTTAGTAGAGACAGGGTTTCACTATGTTGGCCAGACTGGTCTTGAACCCCTGGCCTCAAATGATCTGCCCACCTTGGCCTCCCAAAGTGCTGGGGTTACAGGCGTGACCCACTGCACCTGGCCTGTAAATCTAAAATTCTAAAATAAAAAGTTCTTTTTTATTGTATTTATTTAGAGACAGGGTCTTACTCCGTCACCCAGGCCTGGAGTGTGTTGGCATGATCACGGCTCACTGTAGCCTCCACCTCCTGGGCTCAAGTCATCCTCCCTTCTCAGTCTCCCGAACAGCTGGGACCACAGGCACGTACCACCACACCTGGCTAATTTTTTATAGAGATAGGGTCTCGCTAAGTTGCCCAAGCTGGTCTCGAAGTCCTGGGCTCAAGCGATCCTCCTGCCTCGGCCTCCCAAAGTGCTGGGATTACAGGCATAAGCCATTGCACTCGGCCTAAAAGTTCTTTTTTAAGAGGGCCTAGTTCCCTCTGGACACTCTGTGGCCACCAGCTGGAAAGCCATCACACCTCCCCAGCCCGCGCTCTCCCCAGGGTGAAGGCGAAGGGCGCAGTGCAGTGCGCAACCCCGCGGGCAGGGCTTACTTACCTTGGGTGGGTCGAAGAGCTCCAGCACGCGGTCGGGGCCATCGGGGCCCGGGGCCCGGCGCAGCGCCAGCCTCCCGCGCTGCCAGCGTGCCCCGCTGTCCATGGAGGCCTCGTCGGCCAGGCTGTAGCGCAGCACCGCCTCCTTCAGCGCCTCGGGTGGCGGCTCCCGGGCCAGGCTCCAGGGCAGGAACTTCTTGGCCAGGCCAGGCCGGGCGGGGGTCTCAGCAGCCTCTCCGGGGGTCCCGGGGGCGGCAGCGGTGTGGGCCGCTGGCAGCTCCCCGGCCGAGCGGCGGCGGAAGATGTGGCGGAGGCTGCGGCGAAAGTGCTGGAAGGAGCAGGGCCCGGGCGGCCGCGGCGGGGCCAGCTCCTCAGAGCTGCGGGCCTTGGGCAGGCCAGGGGCGGCGGGGCCGGGGCCTGGCTCCGGGGACGCCTCGGCCTTGGCTGGGGGCCCACGGCCTGTGTCCCGGTAGTCGCGGCCCGGCGCCCGTCCGTCGCGCACCTCGCGGCAGAAGTAGCGCTGGAAGAGGTCGGTGAACTGCAGCGACACCAGCTCGGCGCGCAGCGGCGCGTGCTGCGGATGCTCCCGGGCGAACAGCCAGTACTGGCGGGCCAGCTCCCGGGCCGCCGCTACGGCGTGCAACTCACAGAACTCGCTCCAGCCCCGCGGGGCCGCCGCCGGGGAGGCTGAGGGCGCGGAAGAGGGCGAGGAGGGCTGCAGGGCAGGCCCGTTCATGGCGGAGACCCAGGTGGTGCGGCCGGGCTGAAAGACACGTGGGTGGGGGGGCGACAAGGAGTAAGCAGGTGGGCAAGCAGGTGTAGGCCCCATTACACACCGGGCACCACAGCAGAAATCCAACGCGACCATAACACCCAGTGCTGGTGAAGATGCAGGGAAACATGCACTCCCCTACCAAGTGGCATTCTGTAAGGGGCATGGCCAATTTGGCAGAATTGATTCTAGACTCTGGAATCCTGCTTTTGAAGTACAAAAACCATATGATCATTTCGATAGATGCAGAGAGAGTATTTGACAAAATTCAACATATCTTTATGATAAAAATTTTCAACAAATTAAGCATAGATGGTATGTTGTACCTCAACACACTGAAGGCCCTATATAAAGGCTGAGGTCGGAGGCTCAGGCCTGTAATCCCAGCACTTTGGGAGGCTGAGGCAGGAGGATCACTTGAGCCCAGGAGTTTGAGACCAGCCTGGGCAACATGGTGAAAGCCCATCTCTCCAAAAAAACCAACACAAAAATGAGTTGGCATTGCAGCACGTGCACCTGTAGTCCTAACTACTTGGGAGCCTGAGGAAGTCAAGGCTGCAGTAAGCCATGATCAGCCATTGAACGCCAGCCCAGGCAACAGAATGACTCTGTCTCAAAAAATAAATAAATAAATAAATAAATAAATAAAATAAAGGCCCTATATGACAAGCACACAGTTAACATTGTACTTAATGGTGAAAAGTTGACAACTTTTCCTTTAAGGCCAGGGATGAGAAAAGGATGCCCACTCTGGTCACTTCTATTTAACACAGTACTGACAGTCCTAGCCAGAGCAATCAGGCTCTAGGAATCCCACTTTTAAGTATTCAAGAGAAATACTTGCTCCCTGCTACATATTTCCTGCTAAAACGTTTATAATGGGGAAAAACTAGAAACAACCTAAATGCCCACCAGCTGGAGACTAGTGAAAGAATCTGGCCCATCTATAGGCTGGAAGACTGCATCAGGGGGAAAGAGTGAGGAAGACCCACCCCACCACCTCTGGGAGAGCTCCAGGGCTATTCACTAAGCGAAAAAGCAAACGGCAGAACAAGACACCCTAGACAATCCCATTTACATGAACATACATAAAACCAAACTACTAATGTTTATGTGTACACAAACATTTTGTAAATGGTGGGCAAGAAAGGTCTGGCAGAAGCAAACTCATCCTGAAACAGTGGGTACCTCTGGGGAGGAATCAGAATTGGGATGTGGGGATGGTGGGGAAGTAACCAAGAAGCCTGTTACTGCTTATCTCTAGCAAGGATGGCTAAGAACACAGATTCTGGAATGTGGGTTCAAATCCCAGCACCAGCCACGCGCGGTGGCTCATGCCTGTAATCCCAGCACTCTGGGAGGCCGAGGCAGGTGGATTACTTGAGGTCAGGAGTTAGAGACCAGCCTGGCCAACGTGGTGAAACCCCATCTCTACTAAAAATACAAAAATTAGCCGGCTGTGGTGGCGGGCGCCTGTAGTCCCAGCTACTTGGGAGGCTGGGGCAGGAGAAATGCTTGAATCCAGGAGGTGGAGGTTGCAGTGAGCTGAGATGGTGCCACTGCACTCCAGCCTGGGTGATAGAGCAAGACCCCGTCTCAAAACAAAAAACAAAAAAACAAAAAAAAAACCAGCAACAACTTATTAGTTATGGGACCTTAAGTGACTTACATGATTACTCTCTACCTCAGTTTCTCCATCTGTAAGAGGGGAACCATGATCATGCCTACTTCATAGGCATATTATGAGCATGAATTGATAGCTGTAAAGCCCTAGAACGTAGAAAATGCTTCATAAAGACTGGCTGACATTGTTGTTATTTCCATGTTGCGGTGAGAGTATATTATTGGTGTCTAAAAAATAAACATAGGGCCGGGCACGGTGGCTCACGCCTGTAATCCCAGCACTTTGGGAGGCCGAGGCAGGCAGATCACGAGGTCAGGAGATCAAGACTATCCTGGCTAACACGGTGAAACCCCATCTCTAGTAAAAATACAAAAAAATTAGCGGGGGGTGGTGGCAGGCACCTGTAGTCCCAGCTACTGGGGAGGCTGAGGCAGGAGAATGGCATGAACCCGGGAGGCGGAGCTTGCAGTGAGCCGAGATCACGCCACTGGACTCCAGCCTGGGCAACAGAGCGAGACTCCGTCTCTAAATAAATAAATAAATAAATAAATACATAAATAAATGGGCCGGGGGCAGCTGCTCATACCTGTAATCCCAGCACTCTGGGAGGCTTAGGTGGGTGGATCACCTGAGGTCAGGAATTCGAAACCAGCCTGGCCAACATGGTGAAACCTCGCCTCTACTAAAAATACAAAAATTAGCTGGGTGTGGTGGTGTGTGCCTGTAATGCCAGCTACTCGGGAGGGTGAGGCAGGAGAATCACTTGAACCTGGGAGGCAGAGGTTGCAACGAGCTGAGATCATGCCACTGCATTCCAGCCTGGGTGACAGAGCGAGACTCTGTCCTGGAAAAAAAAAAAAAAAAAATCACACACACAAAAACAAAAACAAAAATAAATATAAAACAAAAAATAAAAAGGAATAAATTAACAAAAGTCACGGGGGTCCAGAGGGATTTCCTGCACTGACAGGGGACCCTCAGGACTAGCAGACCTTTGCCTGCCCATCTCAACTGGGGCATCCTTCTCCTCCCATGGCCAGAGGGCCTTTCCTTAGGCACAACATCACCAGAATGGCACTGAGACCCCCCACCCCTCTGCTGTCCACGGTGCAGAACAGTTGGGACCTCTGTGGGCACCATCCTTCCTTCCTCCTGACCCTCGCTGGGCCTGGGCCCCTGCTGGAGACCACATATCCATGTCGCTCTTCAAGATGGAGAAGAAATGCTCTCCCTACTCAGGCACAAAACTGGGCCCCAGATCCCTGATATCAGCACACCCTGAATGAACAGCAGTGCCACTCCAGTGACTCCCTCCCTGGGCAGGGGTAGTGGCTGCACAACACAAGCTACAGAGCCACAGGGGCCTGGGTACATTTGCTGCCTCCAATCACGCCCTCCTTCATCCTCTCTTCAGGTGTTACTGAGGGCCTACTGTGTGCCAGACACCAGGCTAGGCCCTGAGATACCACGGTGAACAGCACAGACGAACACTGCTCTCCCAGGGCTCACATTACAAAGGGGGACACGTATTGGCTGTGTGGCTCCTGATGCCTGACTCAACCTCTCTGAACCTGGATTTCCTCATCTGCCAACCAGGTGGCAGCATGGCATCCACCTTGTAAGGAACCCATGAAAGGGAATGCAAGGTGGAGATGCGAACCTACAAATGGGGTTCTCTCTGCCACACACCCCTCCACAGGCACCGTCTCTGCATGTGGCCATGTCCCGCTGGGCATGTCTGCAGGGCAGTGGCAACAAAGGGTGCCCCTGTCACATGAGGCCATGGTGGAACCCCCACAGCCGATCTCCACAAGAAACCCCAAAAAGCACAAGTAGGTGCCTCTGCCCTCGATGGAAGGGGGCCATGCAGAGTCGACAATGTTTTTTTTTTTTTTTGAGACAGGGTCTTGTTCTGTCACCCAGGCTGGAGTGCAGTGGCATAATCATGGCTCACCGCAGCCTAGACCTCCCAGGCTCAAGCTATCCTCATCTTGGCCTCCCAAAGTGCTAAGACTACAGGCACACACCACGACACCTGGTTAATTTTTGTATTTTTTGTAGAGATGGGGTCTCACTATGTTGCCTAGGCTGGTCTCAAACTCCTGGGCTCAAGCAGCCCTCCCACCTTGGCCTCCCAAAGTGCTGGGATTACAGGCATGAGCCACCGTGCCCTGCTACAGTCGACAGTTTTGTACATCACAGGGTCCTTGGGACCCGCACACAGTAGGTACTTTGCACACAGTAAGTAGTCACTAAAAGCTGTCAGGCAGATGGGAAGGGAGAGGGAGGGGCCACATCTGCCCTTGGCCACCATGTTCTTCCTGTCCCTGAAGGGGGGAGGGTCTAACCCCTGCATAAGGGCACCTGTTCTTGGTCAATCCTACTGTTCCCCACACCCAGCCTTGACACAGGTGAGACAGGCGCTGCCCTCGTGGCTTGGAGGATGCCCAGAGAGCTGTGATTCCAGACCCAGGCTCCTGCCCCACCTACACGATCTGCCGCTAGTCACGCCAGCTGCCTGTGGGTGTTGGCATGAGCCATTCCCTCTGCCCTGTCTGCTTCCAATTGCACATAAGAGAAGCCTCTTCTGAGCTCCCAACTGAACTTGACCTTCAGCACACTGGTCACACATTATCACTTGACAGGATGCTTTTATTAGTGACTATCTCTCCAACAGACTGAGTTCCATGAGTCATTCCCTGCTTCATCTCCAGCTCCTAGCATACAGCAGGAGCTCAATGAATGCCTCTTGAATGAATGAACATATGAATGCAAGAGATCAGTTGGATTTGCAAACTCTTGCTCTCCCGGCAGATGCGTGGCAACCAGCATGAACCAACCTCCCCCGCCCCCTGGGCCGTCCTACCTTCCGCACAGTCCTGTATGTCAGAGTCTTGAAGCCCAACTGCAGGGCCAAACCCTGGCAGGAGCCTTCCTCAAAACAGCTGCGCCCACTCCAGGTCCCTCACTGCCCAGGCAACGGCTGGGAACCCCCCTCATTGGGCCCCTTCCACCAGTCCTCCCATAAGAACAATGGCATTTACTGAGCGTCTGCTACACATCAGACATTTTTCTTTCTCTTTTTAGAGACAGGGTCTCACTCTGTCTTCCAGGCTGGAGTGCAGTGGCACAATCATAGCTCACTGCTGCCTCGAACTCCTGGGCTCAAGAGATCCTCCTGCCTCAGCCTCCAGAGTAGCTGTAACTACAGGCTCATGGCACCATGCCAAGATCATATCAGGCATTTTTCTAACTACTTTTACAAAATATTACCTCTTCCAAGGTTCCTAACAGCCCTAGGAGGTAGGTCCAACGATTACTTCCATTTTACAGATGGGGAAGCTGAAACAGAGCGGCCCCATAGCTAGTGATTATAGAGACCCCCACACAGAAGGGACCCCCAAAATGTCTGATCAGTGCCTAAATGCACACAAGAAGGGCTCACTTCCCAATGAATGCTTATTGGATGAATGAGTGAGTCCCAGAGGAGAGAATATAAAAGTCTCATTCAGCTCCAGCTGGAGTCAGGAGTCGGCAGTAGCTCTGTCCAGGTCCCAAACCCACCAATGATCAGGAAAACTGTCACAGGGCAAAAGGAAGAAAACAAAAATGAGAGGCTGGGCTCAGTGGCTCACACCTATAATCTCAATACCTCGGGAGGCCAAGGCGGGAGGATTGCTTGAGCCCCAGAGTTCGAGACCAAGCTGGGCAACATGATGAAACCCTATGTCTACTATAAATACAAAAAAATTAGCCTGGCATGGTGGCTGGGCCTGTAGTCCCAGCTACTCAGGAGGCTGAGGCGGGAAGACTGCTTGAGCCCAGGAGGTCGAGGCTGCAGTGAGCTGTGATCACACCACTGCACTCCAGCCTGAGTGACAGAAGCAGACCATATCTCTATAAGAAAAAAAGAACTGATGTCTGCAGTGTGCTTGGCATGGGGCTCATAAGTGGCTGCTGCTATTTTCTTACTATCACTGTTAGAAAAGAGCTCCAGCCTCGGAGTCAGGCTCGCCCGCCATGGGAAGCCACAGGGGGGCCTGCCTCATGGGCTGGGCTCGGGGCGTCATGGGGAGCTGGAACAAAAGATCTTCTCAGGGGAGAGGCGGCTGCTCAGGCTGCTCCGGGCAGGAAGTTGCCAGCCCAGAGCAGTCAGCTGTAGCCCAAGCTATGGAAGGGACTGTACCAGGGAGGTTTTTTGGCCAGGAGGGCAGCCAGGCCACAGGAAGGTGGATCCCTCCCTGACCCTGGCCCAGGCAGTGGCGTTTATTGAGTGCTTACTATGTGCCAGGCTCAGAGAAAAAGCAATTGATCAGATGGTGACAACCCTGGGATCAGGGGCTGACAAGCTGTGGACAGGAAGCAATGATGATCACGCCAGGGGGACCTGGGGCCCTCAGGCTTCGACTGTAGGGTATGAGTTGGGGGCAGGGTGTCTTTGGGACACTTCTATCCCAGCACAGAGCTTCGGGGGAGCCTGGTCAGCCAGAGAAATAAACCACCTTCCCCACAGAGGGGCCCTAGCACCCAGGAGACCCCCCTCACCTGCTCAGGCTTCCTTCTGGGGCAGGAACCTCCCAGCTATGGGGGTCTCCAGGGTTTCCCCAAATCCTGCAGCCAGGTGAGGGGCAGGATGATGTGCAGAAGGAATAACTCAGCCTGGTGCATCCTTGTCCCCCACCCCCAATTCCCTCCCTGCAGCAAATACATGAAGGCAGCTAGCTGCACGCCCACCAGCTGGGGCTGGGGGGTGTCTGCATCTCAGGACCCCAAGCTCAGAACACAACCGGGTCCACCAAAGGGCTATTGAGGGCCTCGAAGCAGCAGTGGTACCTGGTGCTCCCCAAGAAGCACAGCCAGCCCCAGGCACCCTGGAGCCACCAAGTCGGTGAGAAATCGCAGGACCTTGAATCGCTGGGAACCTGGCTGAGCTGTGGGGTCCCCTTAATCCATGCCCCGCTGAGATCAGGGCTTCTCAGCCTCTCCTCTATCTAATCACCCTGGATAATAGTATAATTCGGGAGGCTGAAATTTTCCTTTTAATGATCAGGCCCACATGCAGAGAAAGCCTTTATCCATGGTAGGAATTCCCCTGCTGAGGCTTGGGGAGGATTTTTTTTTTTTTTTCTTTCTTTGAGACAGGTCTGACTGTCACCCAGGCTGGAGTGTAGTGGCATGATCACAGCTCACTGCAACCATGACCTTGTGGGTTTAAGCAGTCCTTCCAAGTATCTGGGACCACAGCCATGTGCCACCATACCCAGTTTTTTTTTTTTTTTTTTGGTAGAGACAGGGTCTCACTATGCTGCCCAGGCTGGTTTCAAACTCCTGGGCTCAAGTGATCCTCCCACCTTGACCTTCCAAAGTGCTGGGATTACAAGTGTGAACCACTGCTCCCAGCCTGGGGAAGATTTCTTAAAGTGTGGTAAATGAAGTTAAATTGGGCCAGTCCAGAGCCTCCACTCTCCCCTGCCCCAGCTCACAGATATAGGCAGGAAGTCTCACACCTTCAGAGGGGACACTTCCTCCAGGGAGGCCTCCTGGTTGAATCTAGGCCACAAGGAACATTTCTATCTTCCCCATGCCTAGCACCAACTGTTCATAGAGTCCAGACCCTGTGGCCTAAGGAGGCCCAGAGAGTTGTGGGATTCTGACACACACTGCCTGGCAGGCGGCCTGCTGCCCTTTCACAGCATTCAAGTTGCCAGACGCAGAGATGCCCACGGGAAGCAGGGGGCGAAGGCAGGGTCCCTGGGGAGGCAGAGAGGTGGGTTCTACCCCAGGCCACGGGGCAGCTGGCTGGACACTGATGCACCCTTGCTGGGGTCACCTTGTGCCCCGGGGACATTTATCAGGCCAGCACAGTCTGCCAGAACAGGAAATGTCCTCTGGCTTCCTCTGCCCACACCGCCAGCCTGACATCCCAGCCACCGCCCCAGCTAGGTTTCAGGAGGTAGGGAAAGCCAAGAACCATCTCCCTGCGGAGAGGCAGCACCATCAGAATCCCGCACGCCCCCCATCCCAAGGCCGTGGCTTCTTCCTTTCACTGCCTCTGGGTTGAGGGCAGACAGGGGAGACCCTAGGAGGGCAGCCTGTGGGTGAACCTCCTCCCCACGTGCTACTTGGGGACATCAGGAGGGACATGCGTAAGCCCTCAATTACCTCGCCTCTCGCAGCATACACTGCCCTCTCTGGGCCTCTCCTCCTTGAGATGACACCAGTGTGTGAGCTCTGAAAGGGCAGATCCCATGTCAGAGGTCCCCTTGTGTGTCCACCTCCCTGATTGATCACATTCCCAGTCTCCCAGCTGGGGCCCCCCATTGGGCGCCTGTGAGTCAGCCCCTGTGAGGAGGGCATAGACTTCCTTCCTCCCAGGCCTCCCTGGGGACACATGTCCTGGGCAGCAGCCGGCTCCCCACTGGCCAGCCGGGGGGTAGCCACATCCGGGTGGGCCCCCAGGGGCTCCAGGCCTGGCTCACAAGGAAGCCTGTGGCCCGGCCCTGCTGGCCGACCCCTGACAGGGTGGCGTGGGAGGAAAAATCTTCTATCTAACTGCTCAGCTGCCGGGTTTCCGGCTGGGGCGGGGAGTGGGGGGGCACCAGGAGGACCTGTTCCCCTGGGGAAGTGTCCTCTGCCCCTGCTGGGAGGAAGGATGGCTAGTGGTGGCCAGCAGAACCCTGGAGCCCTGGTAGAGGGATGCTTGTCACCCCGGCAGCAGGGCCCCATTGAGCAGATGTCCAGTGGTGGCCTGGTCCTGCTGCCAGGCCTCAGGACCTGCTCAGTCTCCAAGGGATCTCAAGCCCCGGGAAGCTGGGGAGGTGGGGTGCAGGACTCCTGGGTCCAATAAGGCCTGACTCAGCAAGTGACCCCGGCTGAGTCACTTCCCCTGGGCAGCCTGCCCGCCTCAGTTTCCTTGGGAAGGGTGGGTAGTGAGGAATGGGGCCTTGCAGGGAATGAGCAGCTAGCACTGCACCTCTGGACTCGCCGAGGCAGGCGTCTCCGGTCTGCCAGACGGCAGCGGCTTCCTGCCCTGCCTCGTCAAAGATGCTGAACGCCCGCGGGCCCTTGGGGACCGTTTTCCCAGGAAACCTGGCAATTAAGTGCCAGCCCCTATTGGGCATGAACAGCAATGGCTTGCACTTATTGAGTGCCAATTGCATGCCGGGCACTGTGCATGCCTCCTTTTCTCAAAACCACCCTAACAGGGAGTTGGCAACCCCCCTATTTCATAGACAAAAAGACCTGTGGCTCAGAGAGGCTAAGGGACCAGCCCAAGATCACACAGCCAGAGCAAGTACAGCCAACACAGTTCCAGTCCTGACACTGTACTTCACACACCCAACCCTGGGGAGGCTGGAACTCTTGGCTTCCATCGGGCAGGCGAGGTCCAGATCAGAGAAGCCAGGTAACCTGCCTAGGACCTCACACCTGGAAGCTGGCAGAGCCCAGATTTGGCCCCAAAGTCCATACTGCTACCAGGGAGAAGTGGGAATTTAGCAGGAAAAGCCTCTTGTTTTATTAATAGCAATAATATCTACTATTGTTAATTGAGTGCCAGGCTCAGCGCTCAGTGCCTTATGTGCCATGTCACAGCAAGTGCACAGCTGTTAAAGCCTTTCACAGATGTTGTCTCAATTGCCTCAGAGAGCTTAAGTGATCAACCCAAGGATCCCCAGCAATGGGAGACCCTCATGAACACCAGCCCTCAGAAGGGTGTGGGGTCATGTAAACTGGGTCCCAAAGGTGTTTCCAGCAAAAGGAGCTGTATTGGCCCAGACTGTGGGACAGCTCCCTACTATGTCCCTGAGACCCCCTTCACTGACCCTCCCCACCTTGGCTGGGGAGGGCACCCGGTCTCCCCTCACCACAGACAGGTGGCACTGAGACTGGCAGCGAGGAGGTCCCTCCAAGTGCCTCCAGCTCTGCTCCACCTGGGATATGGAGAATGTCTGGGGGTGGCACAGCGGGAGCCAGAAATCCAAGGGCCCAGCAGTCCTGTGGGATCTGATTTGTACTCAAAAGTTCTATTTATCGGAGAAGGAGGATCAGGCCCAGGTTTGAGAGGCATGGGGGTGGGGGTGGGGGGATGAGGAAAGAAAGCCAGCAGAGCTAACACCCACAACAAAAAAGATCATTCCGGCCCCAAGGCTACTTCTTCTCTTCCTCCTGACCAAGCCACTCTGGACACTGTGAATTCACTCATTCATGGTTCCCATGACTCTAGGAAGTAGGTACTATTAGCACACCCATTTCACAGATGAGGAAACTGAGGTGGGGCAGTTAAGCAAGGCCTTATAGCTAAGGAAGTGCCCAGATCTTCAAAATTCTGCTCCCAAAGACCCAGGAAATTCCAGTGCTATGTATGCAAGAGATGCTCAAGGGAGACTACTGAAGGAACACCTCATAGCCAATAACAGTAACACTAATGAAGGCAATGATAAAATCACCACTACCACCACCACCACCTGCAACTGAACCTCTCTTTGCCAGGCAGCAGGTGCTCATTACACACTGGCTCATTAAATCTCCACTGCAAACCTGTTACTCCCCCATTTTACACAGAGGGAAACTGAGGGCAGAGTCACTTGCCCACGCCTTCAGCTGAACGAAGGCAATAGGAGTAGCAAAGCACAGTCTCCAGGACCCTCCTCACTATCCTCCTCCACTTCCTGCTGAGCCCCTGCAGACCCTGAGCCCCCAGCTGCTGATGCTCTGAGCCAGCCCCTTCCCAGCTGGCCGCTCTGTGGCCCACAGGGACTCACAAAAGTTCTAGGAATGCTCACCCTTTGGCTCAGAAGGATTTTCCCTCCCAGAGGGGGTAGTGGGAAAAGGCTCAGGAAAAGTGCACTAAAAACCCTTCCAACTTCCCCCAGTAGGCCCTGGCTCTCATCCTCCGAGCCCAGCCTGCCCAGGTGGCCTCTGACGGCTCTCCCTCCACGAGGGCAGGTCCCGAGGAGCCTCCAGAGCTGTTTCCACTCAGGCAGCCAGGTCAGTGATGGGAAACCCAGACACAACCTGCGCCTGCATCCCTGGAGACCCACAGGCCCACTGCCCTGGCAGGGGCCCTGAGGCCTGGCTGCTAGCCGGTGTTAGGGAACTGTCATCTCCCCGGCGAGGGGCTGCGGGTCAGATCTCGGTCCCTCCTGCCACCAAAGCTGGCCTTGCCGACATTGCCTTGCCGGGGCCTCTGCTCTGAACCCCCCACCAGATTTCACTTCCTCCCACTCAGCCCAGCCTGGCCGTGCCCCTCCCTGGAGGCCCCCAGCTGCAGGCAGTGACCTCCTCACCTACATCATTGTGGCTGGGAATGGGGAAGAGAAACAGGAGAATGAGGAAACTAAAGAAAAAAAGAAGCGGGACAGGCAGGCAGACCCTCCTCTCCAGTTCCTCAAATGCAGTCCCCCTCCCTCAAAACAAAGCTCCCCTGGCCGGAGGGAGGGAAGGGAGGGAAGGGGATTTCTGCACCAGGCATCAGAGACCTCTGAAATACCATCCCTACCGTGCGGATCTAGAAGACCAACACCCACTCCAGACGTTTTTTGGTCGGGGGATTCCCAGGGAACCCCAGGCAAGAGGTGTGAGAGGATCAATACCAGAAACCTGTCTCTGGGACGCCTAGCCCTGGTGAACCGCCCAATTCAGCAGCATGCGGGGGCCTGGCCCGGTCGACCTCGGCAGTGCAGGAACTGGGGAGAGGGGCTTCCTGAATCAGGGCGCTACCCTCTTAGCCACATGGCCCGGAATGGGGAGTGGGGAGGGGCCGGCGCATCCTCCCCCGCTGCCCCCACACCCAAGGGCTCATCTGTGCTCACAGCCTCAGTTTGACTACTTTCACTTTCAGGGTAGCAATGGGTGACCCCTGACCGCTCCTCCCCAGGCACAAGTTGAGGGGAGGGCCGCCCCCAACCGGCGAGGCTACCGTAGGGTGGGCTGGGGGCGTCAGCGATGCCCTCTCCCCCATCCCACGGCCTCAGTTACCCCAACGCTCTCCCTAACA
Organism: Homo sapiens; assembly: GCF_000001405.40. NCBI lineage: Eukaryota > Metazoa > Chordata > Mammalia > Primates > Hominidae > Homo > Homo sapiens. The sequence goes on along the minus strand of NC_000012.12, from coordinate 111,406,488 downwards.
CGTGTGTGGGTGGGGGTAGTGGCTGAGTGGGGGGTCGTAGGCGCTGGGAGCCGTCACCCCGGAACGCCTCCATCCGAGTTGGCTGCAGGGCAGTATTTTGGGCTGGGGGTGACGCGCAGAGCCCGGGCAGAACTGGACACGGGGCCTCCTCTTTCCCCACAAAAGCCCTCCCGGCCCCGGAGGAGGGGAGCGCGGGCAAACGCGGGCTCACCTGAGAGACAGGAGCTCTGGGCCCGGCCGGCCCATGGCGTCGCGCGCCCCCGGGCCCTCGAAATCCCGAGGGGGCGGGCGGGCCCCCGCCCTGGGCGCGTCCTCTCCCGCCCGCCGGCTCCTCGCTCGCGGCTCGCTCGAGCGGGGCTCAGGCAGGAAACCCGGGCTCGGAAAATGGCCAGCGCCTCATCATTTCCGCCGCCAGCGCTTGACAGTTGCGGGAGGATGCGCCCCCGGGCCGCCGCCGCCGGGGAAACTTTGCAGCGGCCGCCGTCGCCACCGCGGGCCGCGACAGTCCGGGCGGGCAGCCGGGCGGAGGCGGTGGCCCGGGCCCATGCCGCCCCGCGCCGTTATGTAAAGAGGAACCGGCCGTGCGAGCGGAGCCCGGCGGGGGAGGCCGGCCGCGACAGGGGCGGGGCAGGGGCGGGGCCACCAGGAGCCACGCCTCAGGCCGCGCGCGAGTCGGAGATTCGGCTGGAGGGGCGGGCCATGAGGGCGGAGCCCGGACTGGCCCCGCCTACCAATCCCGCTAGTCCGCGGCTGCCAGGGTCGGAGGGCTCTCCTGGCGCGGGTCCGGAAAAAGGCGAGGCCTTGCGAAGCCACGCCCACCACGTGCCCACCCGATTTCGCGTCCCACAGTCTGAAGATAGAAGTGAGGATCGGAGGGGCGGGGCGACTTTAGCCCCACCCACTCAACGCCGGCAGGTCACCAGGTGCCTCAGCGCCTGGAGGCGGGGCCAGATGAAGGGGCGGGGCCTAGGGCGGGCAGGGTCGAGGGGCCTGGCCTCCAGGGGGCGCGCCCTTGCTGACTCCCTCCTGCAGGGCCTTATCAGTGCCCGCAGGGCTGGGCGGTGCAATAGCGACCACGGCTTTCATCATCGCCCCAGGGAGGGAGCCCAGCCCTGCCCGACCCTGACTATCTGCGATCATGCTGACCCGACCCGCCACGGCCCCAGGCCCCCGATTTGGGTTCTGGCCCCAGCCCTCAGCTTTGCCTTTGCTACAGCCGGTGCCCGTATAGCCCAGCCTCGCTCCGGCCGCCCGTCCTGTCCCCCAATTCTAGGAGGGGTGCATCTTTCTCCAGGAAGCCCTCTCCGACCGCTGGCTTCCGTGGCCTCTGCGCCCACCCCCCTGCCCGCCCCCGGGCTACTTACATTTTCTCCACGGCCTCATGGGGAGCTGAGACGGACAGTGGGGTTCCCCCTAGTCCGGAGTGGGACATGCTCTCAGCCAGCCTCTCCCCCAACATGTGGGAGGGCGGGGAGGGAGGAATGTACTCTTCTCCCCCTCCCCCAACAGGAAACAAGTCGCCCACGCCCCCAGCTTGGAGGGGCCACCTCGAGTCTTCCCAGGCAGCAAGTGTCTCCATTCCACTGCCTCCCCCTCTTCCTACCCGGGCAAATGACTTGACTTCTCCGTACCTCTCCACTTCCTTGCCTATGAAATGGAAATAATGTGTACCCACTCTCCTGGCAGTGAGAATTAAGTGAGTTAATGCATTAAAGCAGTTAGCTCGAGGCTTGGCTCCAGGAAGCTCTCTGTGTTAAACAAATCGGCCCCAGTCCTGACCTTAGAACTACAGGAAGGGGTTCCCCAGAAGGTGGGGATTTCCAGACTCCGAGTAGATGGGGGAAGGGAGCGGTCTGCTACAGGATTCCTGGTGTCCAATGACCTTGAAGAAAAAGGCCACAAAAATCTGCTTTCCGCACATTTCCAGGCACTGTTCTAGGCGCTGGGAACACAGCAGTGAACAACACAGATATCCCTGCCTGCGTGGAGCTGATATTCTAGTGGGGGGACATAAGGCACGAATAAGCAAGTGGGATCAGCTATGACAATGACAAAACAGTTACGGGATGGAGAGCTGGAAGGGGATGTCTTAGATCCAGGGCTCAGGAAGGACACCTCTGCGGAACTAACATGTGAGCTTAGAACCCTCCATGACAAGAAGGATCCAGGTGCTATAACGTCTGAGGGAAGAGCATTCCAGGCCAAAGGAACAGCATGTGCAAAGGTGCTGAGGTGGGAATACATGTGGTGCTTTGGAATAAAGTCATAAAGGCAGTGGTGACACCTATACTGGTAAGAGATGATGTTTCAAAGGTGGGCCCATCACATGGTGTCTTGAAGGTCTTGGTGGGGACTTTGGGAATTATTTTGAAGGCAGTAGGGTGCCATGGAGGGTTGTGAGGAGAAGGACCTGTGGAGTGTGGGATTCAAGCTGTTCACACGGCATCTGAGGATGTGGGAAGAGGGGTGGGGTGGGGGAATGTCAATGAAGTCTAAACGAGGCCGGGTGTAGTGGCTCACACCTGCAATCTCAGCACTTTGGGAGGCTGAGGCCAGCGGATCACCTGAGGTCAGGAGTTTGAGACCAGCCTGGTCAACAGGGTGAAACCCTGTCTCTACTAAAAATACAAAAATTAGCCAGGCATGGTTGCACGCACCTGTAGTCCCAGCTACTGGGGAGGCAGAGGCAGAAGAATCGCTTGAACCTGGGAGGTGGACACTGCAGTGAGCCAAGATTGCATCACTGCACTCGAGCCTGGGAGACAGAGGTAGGCTCTGTCTCTAAAAAAAAAAAAAAAAAAAGTCTGAATGGATCATCCCATATTATTTGATCACTTTCTTATACCTGGGGACACTGCGGCCAAGAGAGAACAGTTACTTGTCTGTAGCCATGCAGCTGCCAGGCAGCACCCACAGAGCAGCCCGGTACCCAGCCAATGCCAAATGGCTGCTGAAATCTGCCAGCCACAAGCACTTTCCCTCTCACTGCCCAGACAGCAGCTCTGCTGACTTAAATTGGGACTTGTGGTTCTTCCCCTTTTTAATCACGGTTCAAACCTTCTCGCCTGCCAGATTTCTCGGAGGCCCAAACTGGTTTCCTTCCTCGCTTAGTCGCTTCTTGCCCACATCCCCGCCAGAGTCCAGTTTTTTGTTTTGGCGCTCGCTGAGACCCCAAGACTTCTCACTTTTTGTGTTTATTTTCCCTTGGAAAGGCAAAGGGATTCCAACAAATAACCTTCCCATCACCGTGCCCAGATTTGAGAGTGCCGCTGCCACGAACACAGCGAGGTCGTCGTCGCCACTGGGAGGCCGGCCAGCCACGGCTCTTCCCACTCGGCAGGTCACTGGGACCTAAGGAGAGAAAGGGTTATTCAAATTCCCATGACTGATCCGTAGCTCCCGGAAACAAGCCAGGCCGTCTTAGGGGAGCAGGTCCAACCGCCCTTCCTTCTTGCTGTGAAAAACACCAACACCTCCTGCTGGCCAAGTTCCAGAAAGCCGGAGACTCACAGGATTAATAACAATTACAGGCCACGCGCGGTGGCTCATGCCTGTAATCCCAGCACTTTGGGAGGCCGAGGCAGGCGGATCACCCAAGGTCGGGAGTTCGAGACCAGCCTGACCAACATGGAGAAACCCCGTCTCTACTAAAAATACAAAATTAGCCAGGTGTGGTGCCGCATGCCTGTAATCCCAGCTACTCAGGAGGCTGAGGCAGGAGAATTGTTTGAACCCGGGAGGTGGAGGTTGCGGTGAGCCGAGATCGTACCATTGCACTCCAGCCTGGGCAACAAGAGTGAAAATCCGTCTCAAAAAAAAAAAAAAAAAATTAAAAAGATAACGATTACAACACGAGTCAACAGCAATAAATTAACAATGATCAATGCTATTAATATTCATATTAGCAATTCGTATTAATAATAATTTAAATAACAACAAAAGTTAACTAGTACAAACACAAATACATGATAAGTGCTTGAGGTGATGGATACCTCATTTACCCTGATGTGATAATTACACATTGCATGCCTGTATCAAAATACCTCACATACTCCATAAATATATACACCTACTATATACTCATAAAAATTCAAAAAGTGGGCCAGGCGCGGTGGCTTAGGCCTGTAATCCCAGCACTTTGGGAGACTGAGGCGGTGGATCACAAAGTCAGGAGTTCAAGACCAGCCAGGCCAATATGGTGAAACCCCATCTCTACTAAAAATACAAAAATTAGCCGGGTGTGGTGGCGGGTGCCAGTAGTCCCAGCTACTCGGGAGGCTGAGGCAGGAGAATCGCTTAAACCCAGGAAGGGGAGGTTGCAGTGAGCTGAGATCACGCGACTGTGCTCCAGCCTGGCAACAACAGAGCGAGACTCCGTCTCCAAAAAAAAAAAAAAGAGTTCTCTGTTCTGTATCTCCTAGCTGTGCAGTCACATAGATTCTCTGGGCCTCAGTTTCCTCATCTGGAAAATGGGGACAGTGACAGGACTGACCCCATTGGGTTGAGGGGGAATTTGATGAGAAAACTCACATTGAGGGCTTAGGAGTGGGGGAGGTACCTCCACATAGCAACGACTGATAAAGAATGTTGAATATAGTGCAGGCTCGGTGGCTCATGCCGGTAATCCCAGCACTTTGGGAGGCTGCAGCAGATGGATCACCTGAGGTCGGGAGTTTGAGACCAGCCTTGTCAACATGGTGAAACCCTGTCTCTACTAAAAATACAAAAATTAACTGGGCGTGCTGGTGGGTGCCTGTAATCCCAGCTACTTGGGAGGCTGACGCAGGGATAATTGCTTGAACCTGGGAGGCGGAGGTTGCAGTGAGCCGAGATTGCACCATTGCACTCCAGCCTGGTGACAAGAGTGAGACTTCGTCTCAAAAAAAAAAAGAATGTGATTATAATCTATGATTGGGTGTGAGAGTCCCGTGTCCCTCGAGGGTTGTGAAGAGGAGTGGCCACAAAGACCAGTCCTGTAAACAACAGAGCTTCACACCCCTTTTACAGATGCAGACACTGAGGTTTGAGAGCAAAGATCTTGCCCAGGGTCACCCAGCCAGAGTGGAGGCCTTGCTGTCTGCATTTGTAAAATGTGCTTCTGCAGGCCTGGGCCACAGGCGAGGAGGAGGCCCGGGGACCTGGCCTGGCCTGGCCCCCAGCTGGGCAATGGCTACTGCTGGTGTTTCCCATGCCCGAGTTTCCATCACGGCACTGCTGTGCAACCTCCAAAGGTCCCCTCTTGCCACCAGCAACAGGCTCCCACTTTCTGAGCCTCAGTATCTCTGGCTTGTCAAATGGGCATGATAGTAGTTGGGTGAAGGGAAATGACATTGTGTAGGACACTTTGTCCCTAGTGGCCTTCAGTGAATGCACAGAGTGCTGAGCATTATCAAAGGACACTGCAGCACACTGGGCTCCTCCTGGCTGTTCCTCAAACTCACCTTCATGCTCCCACTTCAAGGCCTTAGCACTGGCTGTTCCCTGTGCCCAGAATGCTCTTCCACCAGATGTTTTTGTTTTGTTTTGTTTGAGACGGAGTCTCACTCTGTTGCCCAGGCTGGAGTGCAATGGCTCAATCCTGGCTCACTGCAGCCTCTGCCACCTCCTGGGTTCAAGTGATTCTTCTGCCTCAGCCTCCTGAGAAGCTGGAATTACAAGTGAAAGCCACCATGCCCAGCTAATTTTTTGTAGTTTTAGTAGAGATGGGGTTTCACCATGTTGGCCAGGCTGGCCTTGAATAGCTGACCTCAGGCAATCTTCCCGCCTTGGCCTCCCAAAGTGCTGGGATTATAGTCGTGAGCCACCGCGCCCAGCTGTCTACCCTTGCTTTCTTCACTCCCAGGAGATGTCTGACTGCCCACCAAACCTAAACCAGCCCTGCCCCCATTGCTGACCATCTCCATCTCTCTTCTGCTCCTGCTTTTTTTCTTTCTTTTTCTTAGAGGCAGGGTCTCACTCCATCACCCAGGCTGGAGTGCAGTTGTACAATCATGGCTCACTGCAACCTTGAACTCCTGGGCTCAAGCGATCCTGCTGCCTCAGCCTCTCAAGGAGCTGGGACTACAGGTGCACCCCACCATGCCTGGCTAATTGTTTCTATTTTTTGTAGAAACAGGGTCTCTCTATGTTGTCCAGGCTGGTCTCAAACTCCTGGGCTCAAGCAATGCTCCCACTTTGGCCTCCCAAAGTGCTAGGATTACAGGAGCCACCGCGCCTGACTTGCCTCTGCATGTTTTTTCTTCCTCACCCTTGTGGCCCCCTGACTGATACCAGAATCATTGATTCATCTGTTTATTGGCAGTCTCTTTCCCCCACCCCCAGGAGCAGGTCAGCTCCACTCGGCCAGGCATTTGTGTGTCTTGCTCACTCTTGTGAGCACAGTTCTTGGCACATAACAGGTGCTCCTCGTGGCTTAAAAACAGTCCACACTTCTTTGACATACCTCCCTTGAAAAGGTGGAACCTGATTCCCCTGCCCTTGAGTGTGGGCTGGACTTAATGACTCCTTCCTTCCTTCCTTTCCTTCCTTCCTTCCTTCCTTCCTTCCTTCCTTCCTTCCTTTCTTCCTTCCTTCCTTTCCTTCTTTCTTTCTTTCTGACAGAGTCTTGCTCTGTCACCCAGGCTGGACTGCAGTGGTGCGATCTCGGCTCACTGCAACCTCCGCCTCCTGAGTAGCTGGGACTATAGGCACGAGCCACCACGCCCAGCTAATTTTTTGTATTTTTAGTAGAAACAGGGTTTCACTGTGTTAGCCAGGATGGTCTTGATCTCCTGACCTCGTGATCCGCTCGCCTCGGCCTCCCAAAGTGCTGGGATTACAGGCGTGAGCCCCCACACCTGGCCTTAATGAGTCATTTCTAACAGAGACTAAAGTGGAAGTGACGCTGTGTGACTTCTGAGACTGAGTCATAAGAAGCATTTAGGCTTCTCCTTGTACTCTCTTGAGCCATCCACTCTGGGAGAAGCCA